>NW_025791777.1:1325653-1480839 GCF_000001405.40 Homo sapiens
AGAATTAGCAATTAATGAGATAAAGTTTAAAAAAAATCGAGATCAGGACAAGGTAAAAAAAAATCATTCAGTCTTGCAAATCTGTTATTTAATAGGTCATGTTTTAAGAACTGGGAATACAGATACTACGTGTATTTTAAATAGAAAATTTGAAATGTACAAGAAGTCATTTTTAAATATAGTCACTCTGCTATAAAGTCAATCTCTAAAACTCAATCTTTGTGTCTAACTGAAACTGTACCCTGTGAACAACATCTCCCCATTCCCTATCCCTTGCCTCCAGCATTAACTAGCATTCTACTCTCTACTTTTAAGGGTTTGCCTTTTTTCGATTGCTAAAAAGTCTATTTTCAGTGTTCTCACAACAAAAAGATAAATATGTGACATAAGAGATGTGTTAAGCAGCTTGATTTAATCATTCCACAATATAAATATATACGAAGACATAATACTGTACCCCTCAAAACAATTATTATTTGTTTATTTAAAACATTTAAAAACAAAAAATGAGACAAATATCAGGAAAGTAATTTTATACATAAGCTAGATAATTGCCTATAGCTGCGTATGCTGTGAAATAATTTCTGTTTGAAAAGACAGGAAAAATTATATGGCAAAACCATAGTGCAGTAATAAATTTGCCATGTTTAGTAAACAAAATATAGTTCAATGTGACTGAAGCATACCAAGAGGCAGAAGAATGTGGTGTACACTGTAGTGTAGAGGAGTGTCTTAGTTTGGGCTGCTATACAAAATACCATAGATTGAGTGGCTTACAAATAACAAAAAAAGTATTTCTTACTGTTCTAGGGGTTGGAAGTCCAAAGTCAGAGTGCCAGGATGTTCTGGTTTTGGGGAGGGCCCTTTTGCGGTTGCAGACTGTTGGGTTTTTGTATAAGCACATGGGGAAAGAAGTGAGAGCTCTCTTAGGTCCCTTTTATAAGAACACTAAGCCTATTCATGAGGCCTCTACTATGACAACCTAATTACCTCCTGAAGGTCCCACTACTAATACCATTACATTGACAGTTACGATTTCAATATACAGATTTTGAGGGTACACTTTAAAAATTCAGTCCGTAACATTCTGCCCCAGGTTCCCCAAAATTCATGTCTTCACATGCAAAATGCAGTCATTCCATTCCAACAAATCCACAAATCTTAACTCATTCCAGCCTCAAGTCCAGTCTAAAGTCCAAGGTCTTATTTAAATATTACCTAAATCAGATGCAGGTGAGCTTCACGGTACAGTTCATTCTCACAAAATTTCTCTTCATCTGTGAACCTGTGGAATCAAACAACATGAACTCTCAAAATACAATGGTGAGACAGGCATAGGATAAACATTCCCATTCCAAAAAGAACCACTATTCGAAAAAAATAAAATATATGAATGCTGGATCCCAAGTAAATCTAAAACCTAACAGGGCAAACTCCATCAAACCCTAAGGTTCAAGAAGCATCCTCTTTGGCTTGATGACTCACCTTCCAGACAGTCCCCGACAGCTCAGTGAGGCACTGCTCGCTGCTGACTCTATGCACTGGACCCACTTATGGCACAGTCTTTTGTCAGGGCTGAGGTCACTCACCCAGGGCTTCACTGGATGGCCCTCCCACACAGCTCCTCTGAGCATCATTTCTGTCCTTTGAAATCAAAATGGAGGTAACCTTGGCCCACCTTGCCATACCCTCTGGATTTTTGGTAAAAGCAGCAGCTGTAATTGTCTCCAAATCCCCTTTGCGCCCCTTCTTCCGTAATTTTGAAGGAGAGAATAGCACACATCCACAACTGAATAGCTCTCGGGTCCGGGCCTGTAGGGCTTAAGCATTCCGAATGTCTTCCTTTATTTCGTCCCATTATCTCTGTTTCCTTTAGTCCCAACTGGCAGTGTTTCTCCTGGTATAATCCCATTTCTAGTCATGGTTTGTGTTGAGATGTTTGATTAAGCCTGTGGTTCACACCCATATTAATCAAATCAGTAAGGGTCCGAAACACTCTTCATGTTCTCTTCAGAACACACTTTCTCACTTTTTTTGCAATATGGACAGGCTGAGAATTTCCCAGATCTTAAATTATGGTTACTTTTTCCTTAACAATTCCATCTTCAAACCTTTTTCTTTTTCTACATTTGACTCTACGGATTCAGAAGGAACCAAGCTGCTGCTTCTACATGTTGCTGAGAAATCTGCTGGGTTAAATGTCCAATTTCACTGCACACAAGTTCCACCTTCCGCAAAACACAAGAGCATGAATACAATTCAAAGAAGTTTGTTTCCACTTTTCAACATGGATTGCTTTTGCTCCATTTTCCAATAACATTTTCATTTCCATTTGAGACTCCAACAGAATGACCTTTACTGTCCATATTTTATCAATATTCTGTTCATGATTATTTAATTATTTTCTGAGAAGACAGCGTTTTCTTCTATATTTCTTTCCGAGCCCTCACGAGAATTGGCTTTTAAATTTCTTCCACAGTAATCTAGCATTTTGCATAAAACCTCATCAATCTCTGCCAATCACTGAGCCCAAAACCATTTTCACTTTGTTTTAGGTATTTATAATAACAGCACTCCCACTTCTCATGATCAATTTCCATCTTCAGCCGTTCAGGCTGCTTTAATAAAGTTCCATAACCTGAGTGGCTTTTAAATAACGGAATGCACATCTCACAGTTCTGGAGGCTGGAAGTCCAACAGCAGAGTGCCAGCATAATTGGGTTCTGGTGAGAGAGCTCTCTTGGGTTTCAGACTGCTGCCTTCTCAATGCAGCTTCACATGGTGGACAGAAAGAGCTCTCAAGAGTCATTTTTAAGGGCACCAATCTAATTTATGAAGCCTCCACCATAATAAGCTAATTACTTCCCAAAGTTCATTATAAATATGCAGCTTATAGGTCCTGCTACCATCATACTGAAGGTTAAGTTTTCATCACATGAATTTTGAGGGGACACAACATTCAGTTGCAACAAAAAATACTCAGTGGTTTTTAATTACAATATTGATTATGTAAATACAGAATAAATTTTAGCTCTAAACATTATCCATGATGTGATTAATTAAATTACTAGTTTAAAAAATTGAATCTGTAATTTATCTTGCCTCTATAATTATTATAAGAACTTGTAAACTTTTAACTTGTTTTCTTTAATTTGACCATTTCTGAAATTGTATCTCTAAGTATTGATATATACACTTCCTAGTGCATATAAAAGTTATGCATATTTAGAGTAATAAGTAGTGTGTTATCATGTTTTTATATCAGGGCAGGAAGGGAGAAGTTGAAGAACAAAGTGTCCTTTTCAACAACTTCAGCCCACGTATCTTTCTACAGGACTATAACATGTCACCAGCCACAAGGGCAAGGAGACTGGGCATTGTAGTTATTTGGCAGGACACATTGCTCTTTCAAACAAAAATGGCATTCAGAAACAAGAAAGTAGGGAAGAGAGGTTTTGGTTGGACAACTTGCATTGTTGTCCCTTCTTTTCTTAGACTTCCAAATTCTTGGTTTCAGAATTCTTTATAAGGTTACCCCTCTGAGTAATTTTATCGGTCCATTAAATCTCCCAAGTCCAGGTCCCCAAGCTCTTCTCAACTAGTATGACAGCAACTTGTATAGAGATGTCAATGCAGTACAAATGCTTGTTTTAAAGTTGTTTTAATCCAGCTTCTATCATTCTAAATATTGTTTTAATCCAATATTCTAATTCAGAATATTGAGAATAAACTAATCTTACATGAAATATCTTTTTTCTCCTATTATTTGATATGTGTGTCTATAAAATAACATTTTCTAATTACAGAATGTGCAAGCAAAAAACAAAAAGGGCCTGTGTCCCTAGTCCCATTTTCTTGCTTGGAGGTAACATCCACAACATTTTTAGTTTTCTGTTGTTCTTCTCTAATGCTCCCAATAATATACCTTTGTTGTGGTTATTGTTGTTATTATTGCTCTTGCATCAAGCACTATCTCTTAGTGCTCATGCACGTCCTTACCGAGGTCCATTTCTTTACTCTCTGCCCCATTCCAAGTTGTGTTAGGTAGAGGATTATACTGATCAAGTCCTGTTTTTAGCTATCTTCATAACATTAACACTTTAAACCTCAATGTCTTCACTGTTCTACTGTCCTATGAGCTCTAGCAATCTCAAGTTTCATGTCACTTCTCAGACTATGGCAATGGTAATCTGCATTAATGGCAAAATCATTAATATTGATGAAAATTTTTATTTTCTGCCCTTCCCAAAATCATCTACTTCTTTGGAATTTACATTAGCAGGCAACAATGGCAGTGGCAATACTACCTTTTGGAAGGTAACTGTAGCTCCACCCTTATCTGTAAAAAGATATGTATTAAGACCCCCAGTTGATGCCTGAAACAGTGGATAGTAAACATGTACTATTTTTCCTACACATACATACTTATAATAGACTGTAATTTAAAAATTAGGCATAGTGAAATTTAACTAATAATTATAGTAGTTTATTAGTTAAACTACTACTAATTATTATAGTAGTAGTATTTGTTTAAACTAATATACTCATTATGGGAGTAGTATTAAACTAATAGGCTAATTATATTAGTTTAATAATTCTATTAGTTTATTAGTTAAACTAACACTACTAATGATAATAGAATTATATTAGTTATACTAATATATTATGTATAGGAGTAGTATACTTCTATAATTATATAGGAATATAATTATATTCCTTTTACTAATAATTATATGAACATAACTAATAATAGAATTATTATAACAATATACTGTAGTAAAAGTTATGTGAATGTGGTCTCTCTTTCTCTTGAAATACCTTATTATTATCTACTTTTCTTTTTGTGATAAAGAAAACAGGGAGTAGGATGGACAACCTGAGAATTTATCACGTTATGGTACACAATTTCAAAGTTATTATTTCTATAACTTTTATTTAATATTTTTCAAAACATGATTGACCCCTGATAGCTAAAACTGGGGAAAGTGAAACCGCTGGTAAGGGGGGACTGCTGTGTTGCTAAAAGTGTCTTCCTTTGCTAAATGTACCAAGAGTAGATTCTCAAGAGGAGTAACATAGATAGGAATTTACGTTGTAGATGGCCTCAGCTATTGCTAAATATCTACAAATTCACTTGGGAATAATATAAGCAGCCACATCAGCAACAATATCTTGAGTAATATTGTTAATGGAGCATCAGGAATTAGGGCTTTGCAATTATGAGATACATTTTTCCAAAGACATGATGCAAACATCCTTAGCAGTAGAAGAAAAAAGTTGAATTCCAACTCTTTGTCAAGAGGCATTTTTGGGAATTGTTATTATATCCAATTTTCGCCCAGGATTATGTGGCATGATAAATATGCCTTACAATAACTTAGTTAAGAATATTATAGGTAATACATATTTCATCACCTTAAGAAATGTGAATGGCTGTTTGGAGGTATATTAACATCATGTAGATGGAGGCTCAAGACTGCTGAGATAAAATTGAATACATTTAGAAAGACTGATGGCATATTTTCCTGAAGAGAATCTTTAGAAAACCAAAGAGTTAATGTCAGGTTTTCATATGTCTTAGTAGTCTGAATAAAACCTGTTAAATAATTTTTCCTGGAAGAAACATATTACTATTTAATTTTCAAAAAGTGATATTAATAGTTAATTATCCAGTTATCTGGACTTTTTCCAAAAGAGTTTATCTATAAAGAGCATCTACTCTATGAAATGTAGAAATAAACTCAAAGGATAGTAAATCAGTATTCAGTCTGTAAATATTACCTCACTGTGTCCATGACATTTGTGAACTTAGTAACCAAATTTAAGGATTTAATGTGTTTGCTTGTTGTTAACATATATGGAGAGAGAAAAATAAATGGATGAATTTTCAGAATTTATCTAATTTTCTCCTCCATCAAAGTTAAAAATTAGCTGTTTGATTTCCTATACTGAGCTAAAATTCTCTGGCATTTTATCTTGATATTACTGACATCCTGGAAGGAGTATCTTGTTTGTTTGGCAAGTGGATTTTTTTAAAAAAATAAATTATTGCTTCATAATTTTTATTGTTTATATTTCAAGGTTATGAAAAATGCCCTTAAAAAATAGATGGTATATATATATATATATATATATATATAAAAAATATATATTTTAATCTGCATGTAGTATACCTGTTGTGACAAAAATAAACGAAAGCTTAATTTCTTGCCAAGTTGTAGACTATTACAGTATATTATTTTAAGCGTTATGCTATACATACTTCTTTTGAAAATTTATGGAGTACATGAGATGTTTTGATACATGCATAATAATCACATCAGGGTAAATTGAATATCCATCACTTCACACAGTTATCCTTTGTGTTACAAACAATCTGATTATACTCTTCTAGTTATTTTTAAATGTACGATTAAATTATTTTTGACTATAGTCACCCTGTTGTGCTAGCAAATGCTAGGTCTTATTCATTCTTTCTAACTATGTTTTTGTACCTATTAGTGTGCCCCGCTTTCCTCCCAAACCCTCACTACCCTTCTCAGCCTGTTAACCTTTATACTGTTTATCTCCATGAGTTCAATTGTTTTAAGCCTTAGCTCCCACAAATAAGTGAGAGCATCCGAAGTTTGTCTTTCTGCGCCTGGCTTGTTTCACTTAACATAATGACCTCCAGTTCTATCCACATTGTAGCAGATGACAGGAACTCATTGTTTTTTATGGCTGAATGGTATTCCATTTTGTATATGTACTATATTTTCTTTATTCATTCATCTCTTGATGGATACTTAGGTTGATTCCAAATTTTGGCTATTGTGAGTAGTGCTGAAATAAACATGGAGTGCAGATATCTCTCTGATATACTATGTCCTTTCTTTTGGTTATACACCCAGGAGTGGGATTGCTGGATCATATGATAGCTCAATTTTTGCTTTTTGAGAAACCTCCAGACTGTTCTCCTTAAGGGTCATACTAATGTACATTCCCACTGACAGTGTGCAAGGGTTCCTTTTTCTGTATATCCTCGCCAACTTTTGTTATTGCCTGAATTTGGGATAAAAGCCATTTTAACTGGGGCCTCTTAACTTTTTCCCCACACATTTCTTAATTCCTTGATGAAAAATGCTAAAAGATAAGTCACTTTCATACTTCCTAGATACAGTTATTCATTCACTCTTTTATTTTTTTAAGTTTCTTATTTAATAGATATGTATTAAATATTTACCTTGTCTCAGCCAATGTAATGTGTGACAGGCATACAAAGATGAATATAGCAGAAAGTTTATGCCTCTTAAGAAGCATAATGAAGTCATTTAAACAAATAATAGCTACAAATTTTGATGAGCACTGTCATAGAGGTAAGAATATTATGGTGGGGTGGGATGGAAGAAATTAAAATATGTCAATCTACTTTGCGTTGTAAGGAAAATCTTGGCAAAGAAGATACATGTTATGATTTGGCTCTGTGTCCCCACCCAAATCTCAACTCGAATTGTAATCCCCATGTGTCATGGGGAGGGACCTGGTGGGAGGTGATTAGCTCAAAAGGGTGGTTTTCTATGCTGTTCTTGTGATAGTGAGGGGGTTCTCAGGAGATCTGATGGTTTTATAAGTGGCAGTTTCCCCTGCATGCTCTCTCTCTTACCTGCCACAGTGTAAGACTTGCCTTGCTTTCCCTTCACCTTCCACCATGATTATAAGTTTAATTATAAGTTCACTTATAAGTTCAGCCATGTGGAATTGTGAGTCAAGTAAGCCTCTTTTGTTTATAAATTATCCATTCTCAGGTAGTATCTTTATAGCAGTGTGAAATGGACTAATAAGATAAACTTCAATAGAATACTTAAGAAATTGTGGTAATCAACTAGTTTATGAATGGAAAGAATCATTTTATCAAAGGAAATTAAGAGCATAACAATGTGGCATTAAAACAGATTAGGGAGTTCTGAGGGTTGTAAGGATGATGGAACAGGTACATAATAGGACAATATGGGAGAATAATTAAAGAAGTCCTGAGGGTAGGTCACTGAGGCCTTATATGTTATAAAAGGGGGATTTTACTCTAGGAATTGGGAAAGTGTTTGAAGAAAGAGAATAGTGTGATTATATTTGCTTTTTAGTTTGAAAAGAAGTAGCCTGGAAATGAATGAGATTACAGCCAGAGAAGAGAAAGAATATATTTTGATGAAAGAATATATTTGGGTACTGATAGAATAGTCCGGGTTAAAGATGATTTGGACCCTGGCACATGGAGGATGCTGTGGGGTCATAAAGGAAGAAATGGTAATAAAAATAACTAAAGTTTTATTGGATGAAGTTTTCAAGCCAACAAAGCATAAAACACAGACACAAAAACGACGTCTAAAATGATTTCTTAGTTTCTTAGTCATGTATTAGGTGTCAACCAAGACAGGGAATACAGACAGAGCAGTAAAGAGTTCAGCCCCAGACTCAATCCTATATGTGATTTTTGGGCCCATCCATAAACAATGACAAAGACTTGACCAAGTGGGTCCCACAGGGAGAGCTGCCCTCCCCACACTAGTGCATAGTCCTCTAATGGCAGTTTCAGTAAGGGCTGCAGGGCCATGCTCACACACAGATCAGCATCACTTGACTGGTGCCTCCCCTGGAGGCCTCTCCACTGTGGGACCTTGGCAGACCTTCCCCAGGCATGTTTGCCCAAGACCTCCTTTTCATGGGGAGAGGAGGAGGAGTCTTGAAGACAATTGTCTTCCTTCTGATTCAATACTCAGTGCTTTTCCGCTCCCAGCCTTTTCCTGACCTTCCATAAAACTGCAGGCAGGAGCCTGTTGTTCAGGGTTCCTTTGATAGTGAGACAACTCCACATCTGTGCTGACCCATGTGATCCTTGATAGAGCTGTTTCATGAAGGAAAAAAAGGATGGGGACTGGACCGTCAGGGCTTTTTCCAGTTTAACCTCAAAGGTTTGTTAATGTCCTTTTGTCTTGATGTCTTAATTGCCTACTCCAACACCTGGCTCTCTCTCCAGAGTAGTTAAGCTCCTGATGGCTGGGGATAAATTTAATGACTACTGTTTTGTATAAGTTGAGGTTAATCTAATTAATTTACCTAGAGGGAAAATTCTGACCTCTATCTCTGAGACCTCATCTAAAACACAGAGGTCATGAAGATAAATCTGGCTTCTGCCTTCAAGGAGCTTACAGTCTGGTGAAGATGATAGCTGGATAGCTAGACATAACAATAAAACCACAGCTGTTCCCTTGTGATAATTTCTGTTATGAGTTATGTACATTGGAATATGAAAAATATATAAATGGTACATAACCAATTCTAGGAGGTCAGGGCAAGCTTCCTGGGAGAAATGCTGTCTATAGGTAGACACAGAGAGACAAGAATCAAAGCCTCTTCTGAAGAAGGGTTAAATAAATCTCAGGCAGATAGGCTATGCATGACCTGCTTCTTTTATCTGTCATTTTTGTTGTTCAGTTACTTGCTAAATTTTAAGAATTTTATATATATATATTATATTTATAATATATTATATATATAATATACATGTATATATATATATATATATATATATATCTTCTACATATCAGTGCTCTGTCAATTCAGCCTAATTCTGGCAAAAGCATTAAGGACTTCAATATTTACCAGGTTTGAAAGGGGAGCAGTCCTTTGAATTAGAATTATTTGAAAAATGTAGGGCTATTTTGAAACAACTACCCAATTGAAAATGCATGGACACTATAACTATTATACTTGCAGATGCATACAAAAATACTTTTATTGTCACATGGGCACAAAGATGTATATTGAAAGCTGTTCACTGAAACAGTATTTATAATAATGAAACCTGGAAGCAACATATCTCTTAATGGGGATATAGACAAGTAAAGTACAACATATACATGTTATAGAAAAAAATGCAGCCTTCTCAAAAATGGGTAAGCTGTATAGATATAGAAAAGAAAAAAGCATTGTATAAATAATATGTACACTTTAATAAAAGTTGTACTAAATTTTAAATGTAATATAAATATCATACCTTCTATATATATAAAATTATCAAAAAGACTGAATTATAATACATGAAGAGTAGGAAAAAATAGTTGCACTGAGTTTTATATTTTCTGAATGTTTAAATCTTTCCACACAATATGTAATAATTATACTTTTAAAATGCCAGTAAGGTAATATATACAAATAGCTAATTAAAGCTTAATAAGAACTTTGGAAAAATATTTTTAATAAAGGTTTTACATACATCAGGGTTACAATTAAATTTAACATGCTTTTTATTTTGTCAATTTCTTTTATTTAAAAAATACTTAAACTAACTTCCTTTTTGGTTTTTCCTATTAAAAGAAAAAGCATTTTGCCCTCATAAAAGAAAATTAGTTTCAGATTACTAGTAATTATTTAGGTACTAATTAAAAAATAATGAATCTCAGTTACTAAATACACAAATAAGGGAGTTATATGAAACTGTGCAATAGTCATTCTATGGATAGTCATATTTAAAATAAAATGAAAAGAGACTAAAATATGCATTTGTGCTTTTAACTCTGAAAACCTGAATACCTATTCAACTGTTGATTCTGAGTATTTACAGAACTTTATTTCTTCTTTGGACATGCTTTCGCAGTTTTTACCTAATGTATACACATTTTTGCCTTGTTCTTAATAATTAAATATCTGAGAAAAAGATATTCAAAAAGTGGTTTTTTGTGCGTACTCATGATAAACAGTAACATAAAAAGTTACAGAGGTCGGGCCCAGTGGCTCACGCCTGTAATCCCAGCACTTTGGGAGGCCAAGGTGGGTGGATCACTTGAAGTCAGGAGTTTTAGACCAGCCTGGCCAACATGGTGAAACTCCATCTCTACTTAAAAAATAAATAAATAAATAAACAGGCATAGTGGCTCACGTCTGTAATCCCAGCTACTGGGGAGGCTGAGGTGGGAAAATCACTTGAGCCCAGGAGGCGGAAGCTGCACTGAGCCAAGATCACGCCATTGCCCTCCAGCCTGGGTGACAAAGCGAGACTCCATCTCAAAAAAAAAGAAAAGTTATAGAAATAAATATGATGATATGATTTACTGAAAGCAAGTCTCAAATGCCTAAAAAAGGCCAAACTTCCTTTGGTCTTTGGATATCATTCTGGAGGGTGGGTGAGTCTACTTTTGTTTCAAATGTGTTATTTTCATTTATTTTTGAGCAAAAATATCATTTTATAATTTACACTTATTGAACATAAATGTGGAAATACTACTAAATTGTCTCCACATGGAAAATTTCTTGTGACATGTATTTCATCTAACTTGTGAAGTTCACAACTATTTCAAAAAACAGTTAAGCTTGTTCCAAAAACTCACTGCCATCCCACCAAACACACATATGGACTTGAGAATAATTAGGCTTTCAGAAACCACTTTAGTATCCAATTAATTGTAGTTTTCTTCAGAAAGTGGTGTAAATCTGATTATATATAGTTGCTTCATGTAGTATAAATCTGATTATACACAGTTGTTTCATATAGTATATATCTGATGATATACAATTGCTTCATGTAGTTCAACTTGTTACTAGATAATCCATGTGTAATTGTCACAGAAAATCTTACGTGTACATTTGGACAATGTCTCTATCTCTGTTTCTTTCTCTCTGTTTCTCTCTCTCTCTCTCACACACACACACACAGTCCTTTACAATTACTTTGGGAAAAAAATCACAAAAAGGAAAAAATCATTAATCTGAGATTATAACATAAAATCCACAATTTGTCTGTAAACTATCTTTAAATCTATGTTTATACTTGAAATCTACTAGGCTTATGAGAGTCAAAGACTTCCAAGCTTTGAATATTCTTTTCACTTCAAAAGGAACTGAAAATCTAAATGTAATTTGGTACACCTTTTAAAATATTCACTGCTGCCTGCCAGCTAGCTGCAGGTTATTTTAGCTACTAGAAGCAGCACTAATTTGCAATATCTTTCTAAGACTATCTATAGGTAAAAATTTGACATTGGCTGACTCTAACCAATGTCAAGCTTTAGGATAGCAACGTAATCCCTAAAAGAAAAATGAGAAATAACCTAACTATCTAAACATCAAAAACAAATTAACCTTGCTTGCCCATTTTTAGGACAACATAACGGTTTCTTGAGATTTTTCAACATTTATGAAAAGATAAAAATTAAGATGAGTCATTTAATAGCATGCGTGCTTGAACCAATAAAATGATTTCTTATTTTATGAGTTGTTTTTAAAAAATGAGCCCAGATGTTTCAAATTATAAATAATTTGTCAATTTATGCATAAAGCCAAATTTGAAAAATGTGACTGGTCATTCCCATTAAGAAACTCAACTGAAAATCTGTTTCACTGAATCAAGCTTAAATAAGTAATTGTGTACTTAGATGTAGCTGAATTCTAAGAACTATTTGGACCACAACTTATAGACTATTTATATATTTTGCAAACTGTTTGCTGTTCTCTGACTTCAAGTAAGAGAGAGATATTAAGTGACAAATCATACAACGGAAAGGGAGAGCTATTAAGTGATAAATCATACAGTGGAAAGAGAGTTATATAGGAAGACTCTCCATTTTAACTCAGAATAAAATATGTAACCATCTTTAAGTTTTAATGGGGAGACCTGTGTGGCTGACTTTTTTTTTTCCCAATCTAGCTTCCTCATTTGGAAGAATGTTTTGTTTCTGTATATGAAAACTGAAGGATTTCTATTCAAGGCCACTGTGGTAGACAGAATAATGGCTTACTAAAATGTCGACGTCCTAATTTCTGGAACCTGTGAAAATGTCACCTTCCATGACAAAAAGGACATTGTAGAAGCAATTATTTAAGGATCTAGAGATGAGAATATTAAGATGGGTTATTTGGGTGTTCCAAATGTGAACCCAAGTGGAGTTCTTGTAAGACTGAGAAGATGCCTTCGAGTTAGGAAGGAGATGGGAGATGTGTTATGAAAGCAGAGGTTGGAGTGACAGAATTTCAAGATGGAGAAAGGGGTTATAGCCAAGAATCCAAGCAGCCTCAAGAGAGTAGAAGCTCTTGATTTTCACCTATGTGACTCTATTTTAGTCTTTACTTGCAGAACTGTAAGATAGTAGATTTGTGGTGTTTTAATCCACTAAGTTGGTAGTAATGTGCTCCAGCCACTATGAGACAAATACAGTATACACACACACACACACACACACACACACACACACACACATATATATGTGTGTGGGTGTGTATTAGGAAAAGTAGTAAATCTAAATCTAGACTTTCTCATTCTCACCTAGGTTCTTATATTTTTAATTATATAACTAGTTACATAACATTATTTATATAATACTAGTTATATAACTAGTGCTCTATTATTTTCCTTCTATTTTAATTTTTCTGTTAAAAGAAAGTTTAAGAACATATGTATCCATATATGTATATACACATGCAGAAATATATATCTGTGTATGTGTGTGTGTTTATGAGTATATATATTCAAAGTTCTGAAACGTTTTTCAAAGCAATGCTGGCAATGGAATTCTCATTTCTATTTATCTTTTCTGTGGAGGTTTAAGTATGACTTATTTGGGAATTGCTACATTATCCTGACAAAAATATAACAGTAGTGGCAATATATAATCCCCCAAAAATGTTATATCTCCAGATAATTTTAATGAGTTGGCATTGACTAGTATGAGAAATACAAGGCACAGAGAGTGATATGGTTTGGCTCTGTGCTGTCACCCAAATCTCATCTTGAATCGTAATTCCCATAATGCCCATGTGTTGAGGGGCCTGTTGGGAGGTGATTGGATCATGGGCACAGTTTCCCCTAGATGTTCTCATGATAGTGAATGAGTTCTCATGAGATCTGATGGTTTTACAAGTGTTTGACAGTGCCTCCTTCACATGCTCTCTCTCCCCTGCTGCCATGTAAGACGTGCCTGCTTCCCCTTCCACCATGATTGTAAGTTCCCTGAGGCCTCCCCAGCCGTGCAGAACTGTGAGTCAATTAAGCCTCTTTCCTTTGTAAATTACCCTGTCTCGGGTATTCTTTATAGCAATGTGAAAATGGATTAATACAGAGAGTCTACACATTTCTTTATATAAGATATACTTGTTTTCTGTTTATAGTTAGCATTTACAAAGTTTACAGTAAAATTTTTACTTACATTCATATAACATTTAAGTTATTCTCAAAATTTTATGCAACCATTTTAGATCTAAAGTGGACTTTGTTTTTTTCCATAGAATAAGTATTTTGTAGGACTTCTCTTCAATATTGGTGTGTAGAAAAAAAAATGTGAACTTCAAGTTTCAATCAATTAAACTTTTGCTTAAACTGAAAAACCATGCCAACACACAAAAAGGTCATCTGGGGTGTGCCATTACATTAGGATTACGTACTGGTACTACACACTCAGTTGTGTAGGACATAAGAATGGATTATACTTAAACCTCTAAAGGATGGCCTGAATTAAAGTGATAGAAAATGGGAGTTAATATTGCTAGTGTTACCATGTAAAATTTAATAATTATTTGCTTAATTATTGTCTTATTAATTTAATAGTTTCTAAAGAGAAATTTCATTAACAAATTAACAGGAACAGCTACAAAATTTGCAGTGTTCAGTGCAAAATTAAAATATAGGACATCTTCCTCAAAAATTATTTAAAACTTGACACGAATGACACCAAAGAATTAGCCAAGTGATGGGCCCCTGCAAATGAGCAGATCACATAAATCTATCCCTGAACATCAATTAGTTATAAAAAAATAAGAATTTAAGGCTGGGACCCATAGCCATAATTTTACCCATACCTGCATTTATATCTGTATTTATATACCTATAACAGTATTTAGATCTATTTATTCACAATCTCAGAATCAGATTGTAGAGACATTTAAAGATTAACTAATACAAACTTGTCCTCTTACAAAAGAGAAAACTGAGCCGCAGTGCTTTGATTGTATCAGTAGCTAATATTAGAAATAAAAGCAACACATTATCTTAAATATTTTATGTTTTTCTTATTACTACCAGTTTAGTGCTCCTATGTATTTTGTAGTACTTCTCTTCAATATTGGTGTGTAGAAAGAAAATGTGAACCCCGAGTTTAATCAATTAAACTTTGATTAAACTGAAAAACCATGGTCAATCCCAATACACAAAAGGGTCATCTGGGGTGTGCCATTGCATTAGGATTACATACTGGTACTATATGTTGCTGCTACATGCTCTTTCACTCAGTCGTGTAGGACAGAAGAATGGATTATACTTAAACTTCTAAAGAATGACCTCAATTAAAGAGATAGAAAATGGGAGTTAATATTGTTAGTGTTGCCATGTAAAATTTAATAATTAATATAATGTCTCATATATTCCGTGGTGATTAATTGGTGTGGAATATTTAAGCCACGAGAATAAGTACTATAAAAGCAAGAATTTATAATAGGGTCTTTAATGATCAGTTCTGTTCTTACACAGCTTCTCCCCACTCCTACTCCTTGGAAGCAACCAAGTGGTATGAGTTGGCCCCTACTCACCCCCTCCCTGGTGTCAGTGGACCACATCAGGGAAGTGAGGTTATTTTTTCACTTGGAGGAAACAAAGATATGTAACTCAGTACCCTACTTTTGCCATGAGGTTGCCAGTGGGTGGAGGGAGAAGACAAACTTCCACCTAACCAGTCTGCAAGAAGGAAGTATAAGTTAGTACTCTACTTTTGGTAGGATGGTATTAGTAGGTCCCATCAGGAAGATAAACACGCACACCCACCCAGCTCTCAGGTTACACATCAATAGGGAACCATCTACGAAATAATAAGAGAGAAAAATTCTCATAATATAAAAAAAAATTCAGGACACAATAAAAATCACTTATAAGACAAAAGAACTAGGAAATCATAACCTGAATGAGAGAAAGACAACAGACACCAACACAGACATAAAAAAGGGGTTGGGGCTGGGCGCAGTGGCTCACACCTGTAATCCCAGCACTGTGGGAGGCCAAGATGGGTGGATCACTTGAGGTCAGGAGTTCAAGACCAGCCTGTCCAACATGGTGAAACCCCGCCTCTACTAAAAATATAAAAAGTTAGCTGGGTGCATTGGCACATGCCTGTAATCCCAGCTACTTGGGAGGCTGAGGCAGGAGAATCACTTGAACCTGGGAGATGGAGGTTGCAGTGAGCCAAGATCATACCGCTGCACTCCAGCCTGGGTAACAGAGTGAGACTGTTTCAGACAAAAAAAAAAAAAAAAAAAAAAAAAAAAGAGGTTGGAATTATCTAACAAGGATTTTGAAGAAACCATCATAAAAGTGTTTAAATAAGCAATTATATATTGTATTCTCTTGGAACAAATAAAAGTTAAAATTAAAAATAAATTCAATAATGACTTATAAGTTATAAAAAGTAAACATGAACTAAATAAAATTAAAATACAATAATGGAAATAATAGATGCAGAGGATGGTCACAAAAGAAGAGAGCACAGAGCAGAAGATGGAATCAGTGAATCTGAAAACATGCCAACAGAATTTACTGTCTGAACAAGAAGAAGAAAACCGATAAAAAAAAAATTTAACAGCATTTCAGGAAACTTTAGAACAATAATAAAAGAGCTAACATTCATAATCACAGGAGATATAGAAGACGAGGAGATAGAATGTGGGACTAAAAAACTATTAAAAAATAATGACTTCAACCTTCCCAAATTAGATGGAAGACATAAACCTAAATATTCAAGAAACAGAGCAAACCCTAAATAGAATACACCCAAATACATTCAATTTCTGGAAATGAAAAAAAAAAATTAAAAATCTTGAAAGCAAACAGAGAAAAATGGCACATTTCTTACAGAAAAACAATAATGTAAACCACAGCAGATTTTCCATCTGAAACCATGAAGGTTGGAAGGAAACAGATAATATTTTTGAAGTACTGAAAGAACAGAACTGTGAACTGTAAATTCAATACCCAGCAATAATATTCTTCAGGCACTAAAGTGACATAGAAAACATTGTCTAATGAAAGAATGCTAAGGTAATGTGTTGCTAACAAACTTACCTTTAAAGAATAAGTTCTCTAAACAGAAAAGAAATGATAAAAGAAGAAGGTTTGCAGCTTTTACAAACATCCATCTAAATGGGTAAAATTAAGCATAAATATAATGTATAATCAAACTTCTCTTAAGTTTTTAAGCCATTTCTAATAGTTGAAGCAAAAATTAATGACCTATCTGGTTAGATGCTCAAGGAACATAGAGGAAGTATTTAAGATAATTATATCTAAAAAGTAGTGATAGTAAAGAGACTCATATGGAAACAAGTTTTCTACACTTCACTCAAAGAGGTAAAACATCATTAACAGTAGATCTTGACATTACACATATATTATTTTAACCAGTGCAATTAATAAAACCAAACAAAATCATGTACAATCATGCACTGCATAACGATGTTTTGCTCAGCAGTAGACTGCATATATCATGGTGGTCCCATAAGATTATAATGGAGATGAATATTACCTAGTGACATTGCAGCTGAGCTGTCTTAACATCATAGTCTAACATATTTCTCACCTGTTTGTGGCAATGATGGTGTAAACAAACCTACTTCATTGCCAGTTATATAAAAGTGTAGCACATAAAATTCTGTCTAGTACTGATATTGTTTGGCTGTGTCCCCACCCAAATCTCATCTTGAATTGTAATCCTCATGATCCTCCCGTGTCAAGGGCAAGACCCGGTGGGAAGTGATTGGATCCTGGAGGCAGTTTCCCTCATGCTGTTCTCATGATAGTGAGTAAGTTTTCATGAGATCCGATGGTTTTAAAAGTGTTTGAAAATTTCTCCTAGACACACTCATTCTCTCCTGTTGCCTTTTGAAGAAGCCAACTGCTTTTATTCCACCATGATTGTAAGTTTTCTGAGGCCTCTCCAGCCATGCAGAACTATGAGTCAATTAACCCTCTTTCCTTTATAAATTACCCTGTCTTGGGTAGTATCTTTATAGCAGTGTGAGAACAGACTAATAGAGTAAATTGGTACTGGGAGTGGGGCACTGCTATAAAGATACTGAAAATGAGGAAGTGACTTTAGAACTGGGTATCGGGCAGAGGTTGGAAGTGTTTGGAGGGCTCAGAAGAAGACAGGAAGTTGTGAGAAAGTTTGAAACTTCCTAGGGACCTGTGGAATGGTTTTGACCAAAATGCTGATAGTGATATAGACAGTGAAGTCCAAGCTGAGGTGGTCTTGGATGGACAAGAACTCATTAGGAACTAGAGCCCAAAGATCACTGTTACTCTGCCTTAGCAAAGAGACTGGAAGCATTTTGCCCCTGTCCTAGAGATCTGTGGAACTTTTAATTTGAGAAACATTATCTCAAATTGGAACTTATGTTTAAAATGGAAGCAGGGCATAAAAGTTTGGAAAATTTGCAGCCTGACCATGCAGTAGAAAAGAAAAACCCATTTTTCAGGGGAGGAATTCAAGCTGGCTACAGAAATTTGCCTAAATAACAAGAAGCCAAATGTTATTACAGTAGCCAAAACAATGGTAAAATTTTTCTTGGGCGTATCAGAGACTTCCATGGCAGCCCTTCTCATCACAGACCCAGCAGCCTCTGAGGGAAAAATGGTTTCATGGGCTGGGCCTAGGGCCCCGTTGCTCTGGGCAACCTCAGGACTTGGTGCCCTGTGTCCCAGCTGCTGCTACTCCAGCTCCAGCCGTGGCTAAAAGGAGCCAATGTACAGCTCATCTGTTGATTCAGAGGGTGCAAGCCCCAAGCCTTGGAGGATTCCATATGGTGTTGGGCCTGAGGGTACACAGAAGTCAAGAATTCAGGTGTGGAAACCTCTGCCTAGATTTCATAGGTTGTATGGAAATGCCTGGATGTCCAGGCCGAGATTGGTTGCAGGGGTGGAGCCATCATGGAGAACCTCTGCTAGGGTAGTGCAGAAGGGAAATGTGGGGTTGAAGCTCCCACACAGAGTCCCCACTGGGGCACTGCCTAGTGAAGCTATGAGAAGAGGGCCACTGTTCTCCAGACCCCTGAATGGAAGATCCACCAACAGCTTGTACTGTGCACCTGGAAAAGCCACAGACACTCAATGCCAGCCTGTGAAGGAACTGCCCAAGGCCATGGGAGCCCACCCCTTGCATTAACATGCCCTGGATGTGAAACATGGAGACAAGGAGATTATTTTAAAGCTTTAAGTTTTAATGACTGCCCTGCTGGGTTTCAGACTTTCATGGGGCCTGCATCCCCTTTGTTTTGACTAATTTCTCCCATTTGGAATGGGAGCATTTATCCAATTCTTGTACCCTCATGGTATCTAGGAAGTAACTAACTTGCTTTTGATTTTACAGGCTTATAGGCCAAAACGTCTTGCCTTGTCTCAGATGAGACTTTGAACTGTGGGCTGTTGAGTTACTGCTGAAATGATTTAAGACTCTGGGGGACTGTTAGGAAGGCATGATGTTGGGTTGGAAATGTAAAAAATATGTGAGATCTGGGAGGGGCCAGGGGTGGAATGATATGGTTTGGCTCTATATCCCCACCCAAATCTCATCTTGAATTGTAATCTTCATAATACCCATGTGTTGAGGGCAGGATCTGGTGGAAGGTGATTGGATCATGTGGGCGGTTTCCGCCATACTGTTCTTACGATAGTGAGTGAGTTCTCAGGAGATCTGATGGTTTTGTTAAGTGTTTCACAGCTCCTCCTACACACAATCCTTCTCTCTCCTGTTGTCTTGTGAAGAAGATGACTGCTTCCCATTTCACCATGATTGTAAGTTCCATGAGGCCTCCTCAGCCATGCAGAACTGTGACTCAATTAAACCTCTTTCCTTTATGAATTACCCAATCTCGGGTAGTGTCTTTATAGTAGTGTGAGAATGGACTAATACAAGTACATTTTACTTAGTAATAATAATAAACAAATATATTACATTTTTGTGTATTTACTACACCATATTTTTTATTGTTATTGTAGTGTACACCTTCTACTTATTAAAAGAAATAGGCCCGAGGCGGGCAGATCACGAGGTCAGGAGATGGAGACCATCCTGGCTAACATGGTGAAACCCCATCTCTACTAAAAATACAAAAAATTAGCCAGGCCTGGTGGGGGGCGCCTATATTCCCAGCTATTCGGGAGGCTGAGGCAGGAGAATGGCGTGAACCCAGGAGGCGGAGCTTGCAGTGAGCCGAGATCACGCCACTGCACTCCAGCCTGGGCGACAGAGCGAGACTCTGTCTCAAAAACAAACAAAAAAAAAAGTAATAGGCAACTGTAAAACAGCCTCACAGTGGTCCTTCACGAGGCATTTCAGAGGGCATTGTTATCATAGATGTCGACAGATCCATATGCATTATTGGCCTAGAGGAGCTTCCAGTGGGACAAGATCTGGAGGTAGAAAACAGTGATGTTGATCATACTGACCCTGTGTAGGCCTACGCTAGTATGTGCATTTGTGTCTTTGTTTTTAACAACAACAACAAAAAAATTAAAAATTAAAAGATGTAAAATTACAAAAAAATCTTAGAGAATAAGGATATAAGGAAATAAAGTATTTCTGTGTACAATATGCGTTTTAAGCTAAGTGTTGTTACAAAAGAGTCAAAAAGTTAAAAATAAGTTAAAAAGTTTATAAAGTAAAAAAGTTACTGTAGGATAAGTTTAATGTATTTTGAAAGAAATAAGTTTCTTTATAAATTTTATAAATTCAGTGTTTATAAAGTCTACAGTTTTGTACAATGATGCCCTAGGCATTTACGCTCACTCACCACTTACTCACTAACTCTCCCAGAGCAACTCCTAGCCCTGCAATCTTCATTTATAGTAAGTGCCCTAATCAGGTATACCATTTTTGATGTTTTGACTGGATTTTTTACTGTACCTTTTTTTTATGTTTAGATACACAAATATTTACCGTTGTGTTGCAGATGCCTACAGTATTCAGCACAGTAACATGCTGTATAGGTTTGTAGCCTAGGATCAGTAGGCTGTACCACATAACCTGGGGTGAGTAGTAGGTTATGCTATCTCTATTTACACATAGAATACACTATATGATGTTACACAGTGAAGAAATTGCCTAATGCATTTCTCAGAATGTAATTTTTGTCATTAAGTGATGCAACATTGTATTTAAAACACTATAAATAAATTAAGATGGAAACTTAACATGTTTATGTAACCCATTGGAAAGCAAGAAAAAGACACAGAGGAATAAGAAACAGAAACAAATAACAAAGTGGTAGACTTCAACCACAACATACAAATTGTTAAACATAAAAGGCCTATAGAAACCAACTAAAAAACATAGATTGGCAGAGTAGTTAAAAAAACAAAAATCAAAAACGAAAAACCATGGCCAACAATATTGTCCAAATTGCATTTGTACCCCATAAATAAATAATTTTTAAAATTCTGTCTATATAAAACTAACTTCAAATACAGCATAGGTAAGATAAAAGTAAAAAGAGAGAACCAGTAAAATAATTTAAAAATGCAAGTGAGGTTATAGTAATATATCAGCTACATAAATTTTATTTTATTTATTATTATTATTATTATTATTATTATTATTATTATTTTGAGACAGAGTGTCGCTCTGTCACCCAGGCTGGAGTGCAGTGGAGCAATCTCAAACTCACTGCAAGCTCCACCTCCCAGGTTCATGCCATTCTCCTGCCTCAGCCTCCCGAGTAGCTGGTACTACAGGTGCCCACCACCACGCCCAGCTAATTTTTTTGTGTTTTTAGTAGAGACGGGGTTTCACCGTGTTAGCTAGGATGGTCTCGATCTCCTGACCTTGTGATCCTCCAGTCTCAGCCTCCCAAAGTGCTGGGATTACAGGCATGAGCCAGGGTGCCCGGCCCAGCTACATAAATTTTAAAAAGTAAAAAAAGTCAAATTGCGTTTTTAAATATTTTACATTCCATTGCCATTCAAAGAAATAACATTGTTTTCAATACGATTAAGCAAGTATCATTAGACCTAGAAATAGCCACAATCATTTCTTTAAAAGATTATTAATATTTATTTATTTATTTATTTATTTTTAGGCGGAGTCTCACTCTGTTCACCAAGCTGGAGTGCAGTGGTGCAGTCTCAGCTCACTGCAATTTCTGCCTCACCCTCCCAAGTAATTGGGATTACAGGCACGTGCCACCACATATGGCTAATTTTTGTATTTTTAGTAGAGACTAATTTTTGTACTTTTAGTAGAGACAGGGTTTCACCATATTGGCCAGGCTGGTCACAAACTCCTGACCTCAGGTGATTGGCCCGCATCAGCCTCCCAAAGTGCTGGGATTACAGGCGTAAGTCATCGTGCCCAGCTAAGATTACTAATATTTATAAGCTCTACCTTCTTTCTTGGAGAAATGACTTTATAATTTCACTTTCTAATTCAGTTACCTGTTGAAACTAAATTAAAATATATTCATATGCAAAATGCAAGTAAATAAAAACAGCAGCTTTCTCTATGCTAAAAGGAAGTTCCTTTGGAGCTCATTTCCTTGACAACGCAAGAAAGTACTTCACTGCACTATCTTCATTATGCAAATAAAGGTGCATTTTAGCTCTTTGAAGAAGAAGAGGAAGAACATGTCTCTCAAATGGCAGGAAAGAACAAATTTCCTTAAGGAAGAGTGAGGGAAAGTTCATCAACACCAACCCTAGGTACATCTTCATTCAGACTTGAAAAGCTTTTGAATAGCGTCTGTTTATTCCTGTTAGAACTGAACTGGCAGGAAAAGACAATGGAGAAGCCACAAAGAGGAGTAGCTAGGTAGCAGCATTCAGGTCCACAATGCCTGGATTTCATTATTATTATTCTACTGTATCTTCAGGCAGTTTATGTAAATCATGTTATTGAGTTCTCTCATCTGGAAGATGAGAGTACTAATAGTTCCAGCGTTCTTACATTAGTGCTGCTGCCATTAGTTATCATCATTTAAGTGTCTGTTCTTATTGTTCAAAGAGTGACTGGCAGTTGAGAGTCCCTGGGACCTGAAGTAGGGAGGTAGAGAATTTTGCATTGGAGTATACTGTTATCTTAACCTTGGAGGCCTGAGTGTTCTTAGGTAAAAGACTGCTTTGGAGGCTGCAAATGGAACTAGAATCCCACCAGATCACAGCCATCTGACTTGGTTGCGTTTTTATGGAAACCAGCGTGTTGAGGATGTGAGACTGATATAAAAGCACTAGGATATTCACAGGGTAAAAGTCAGGAGGATCATAACAGCACAGTACTAGAGAACCAGTACGTAGTGGTGTGATGAATGAAAGCCACTGACATAACTTTCGCATCTTGTCTTCCTGTATTCTTTCTTTCTGTGACAGTTGTTGAGATCATGACCTCTTCTGGAATGGTGTTCTCAGAAGTCCTTGGACAATCAGGGTGTACTAGGAGAAAACATGCTGTGAGATGGGATGAAAGTCTTCAGGATGGACACTATACTTTCTGTTATTGGAGGATTCGGTAGTTTGAATAAGCGTTTGAATGAATAAAATATTTGAGTTGAGGACTAAATTCTGATTTTTTTTTTTCATCTTGCCCAAATTCCTATTTAAAGAAACTGGGAGTCAGCCCTACGAATGATAACATCTCTTTACATGGGTTTTTTATTAACCCTATATAATGTGGCTTGCTTTCCAACCTGACTCTGGTACAGCATCACATAACAGACAGCAGACCCTGAAGGATATAAAAATATTTTGCCCTAAAATATATTTCTTTGATGTCTTTTGAAATGGCTGTTGCAAGGCCAGCAAACTGAGGTAGAGGAAATTTGCATCTATGGAGAATCTTCATTAATGCAGCCATGCTTCCCCTTTCTATGCCTTTCCAGGACCTAGGAGTGATTGAGAGTCTGATACCTTTAAAGGTCTGAAAAGAAACATTTACCATCTATTCTCTCTGAGGGCCACCTATGAGGCTTCATCTACTTAATAAGATCCTTGGTCTTTCCCCCACTCTTATCTGAACTCAGGCATTCCTTTCTATCGATTTCAAGACTTTAGACGATAGCATAACTCTCTCAACCAATTGTCAACTAAAGGATCCCTAAAAGCCCCTTATGACGTACAAGCTCCTACCCTGACCTACCTGCAATTACCTGCAGTTGGTTGTCTCCTTGGAATGTATAAAACCAAAGTGTAACCCGGTTGCCTTGGGCACGCTTTCAGAACCTCTTGAGATAGTGTAACCCAGGCCTTGGTCACTTATACTGGCTCTGAATAAACCTCTTTAAATATATTTTGACAGAATTTGGTTTTTGTGTATTTTTCTGTGTATTTCTACCTCTGAGAAGAGGAGTAATTTATACTCTTTAAAAATCATGGTCAGGTATGACTGGTGCTAGAATGAGGATGAAGGGAAGAGAAAGGGAAGAAATAATTCTCCACTCTTTGTTTCCAATTTTAGTTCTTTAAAGTAAAAGTACAAAACATTTTGTAGAGATGTAGTTTGTGGTGGCATGGTTGAAAAACTTCTGCAGTTTATGATTCCTCCACTACAGTGTGATAATGTTTTAAATAGCATTTAAAATGTAGATTCTGTCCAATCCTTACAATTAACTTTTTTATTGTTTGGAATCCATGAAGTTGGTATATGCATGAGCAGATACATATTTATTTAAGAAAAAAAATTAGGCCTTACAGAAAATTGGTTTCTCAGAGACATGATAAAAGTTACCAGATAATGTCTCTCAGACTATATCTATGAAAAAATACATAACCAAATAGACACCAATTGCAAATGAATTAATTACATTGAAATTCTAATAACTTTCATTTCCTAAACTGACATTGATGGAAAAGAATTCTAAGATATAAAATAAGCTCTACTTCATCCTGCTTTCAATAGCACATGATTTAATCAGAATATATAAGTAATACTGTTGAGCACATAAATATTATTTTCATTACTTGATGATAATTATGACTATTTTCATTGCTATAATTTTGGTCATGCCATATTGATTAGCAATAAAATATATACTTAGCTAGAGAGGCAGCTAATCCAAAACTTTTGGGATTTCTTTTTTTTTTTAGATTATTGGTGCTCCTCCTCCTGTCATTGAGGTTAAAATTAAATGTTACATATTCCTTCTCTGTGTATGTGTATCTTATTTCCTCATATTCTACCTCTTCAGAGTAGTGTGTGTGAGTGCATGCACACACACTTGCATGTGAGAGCTTCTAATATCTAAATTAATGTTGAATCATTATTCAGAAACAAAGAGAGCTAACTGTTATCCTGACTTTATTCTTTATGAAGAAAAATACAGTGATTCCAAGTTACCAAGTTAGTGCTGCTTTATTTATAAATGAAGTAACATTTTACAAGTTGTGCATAAGTTAAAATTCAGAAATAAAACTTCATCCTAAAACTCTGTGTGTTGCTTTAAATAATCAGAGCATCTGCCTACTTAATTTTTTTTGTGTGGGTGCACAATAGATGTTTAATGAGATCCTGTCATCTGTCTGCTTTTTTATTGTAAAACAGGAGGGGTTTTAATCCTGGAGGAACAACTGATGTACCTCTGAAAAAGAGAGGGATTAGTTATTAATTGAATTGAGGGTTGTCTTGTCTTAGTAGCTTTTATTCTCTAGGTACTATTTGATTATGATTGTGAAAATAGAATTTATCCCTCATTAAATGTAAAATCAACAGGAGAATAGCAAAAACTTATGAGATAGATGAACATTGTGTGAGTGGCATGGTTTAATTTGTTTGGAAGAAGCACTTGCCCCAGAAGATACACAATGAAATTCATGTTATTGAGTAGAGTAGTAATACAGTGTGTTCCCTTGTGAAGTTCATAACCAAGAATTATTTTAGTAGTGGATAGGTAGGCTGAATAATTGACTTCCTATCATTTTCAGGTTCTGTGTTTGATTTTTTTTACATATTAATTTCTTTGATCCACATTAAGCTCAGTTATGTATTTCCATTTTATAAATGAAAAAAAAAAAAATAGGCACTTGCAAATGTCAGATCACTTGCCTGTGGTCATTCGGGTAGAGATTTGTGAAGCTAAGTTGGTCTTAATCAAATGTCAAGCTTTTTTTTTTCTTATAAAATATAGATTTTAATATGAGTTTTAAAATAAAATTAATTAGAAAAAGGCAAATTACTCAATATATAAAATGTATTGCATTTGTAATAGGTAGGTATTTCATTTTCTAGTTATGGTGGGATATTATTCAGACTATAATTCCCAATGAAAAAACTTTAAAAAATGCTAGTGATTGCACATTTAAAACACCTTTTAAAAAGCATTGAGAGCTTATAAAATTTTAATAAGTGATCAAACCAAATTTGAAGAGAAAAGAAGAACCCAGAGAGGTAAGGATATAACCTTACCAGTTGCAATTTGCCGATCTCTACAAATATTAATATTTATTTTGACAGTTTCAGGGTGAATGAGAAAGAAACCAAAACCGAAGACTAGCATATGTTAAGTCTTCTTAAGGAGCCCTCCCTTAAAAGATTGAGATGACCAAATCTTATACCCTCAGCATAAGGTGAACCAGACAGACCTAAAGCAGTGGTAGCTTGGATCCACTACTTGGGTTTGTGTGACTGCGTGACTCAGGTAATCTCAAAAATTGAACATTTTTTTAAGGTGGTCCTACTCGTATGCCCAGGTGTTAGGGAGAAGCAAATCTGAATGCTTTATAAAAATACCCTGAAGCTAAATCTTACAATATTCTCAAGAACACAGTGAAACAAGGCAAAATAAGTTAAAATCAACAAAAACAACATGAAACATAATTAGACCCACAAAGACTTCAAACATTGGACAATATCAGAGAAAGATAATAAATATTTTACTCTTTAAAAATTTAGTTAAAAGCTTAAACTAATTGTAGAGAAAAAACTGTGTTAGTATTATATTGTGGATGAAATAAGCAAAACATTTAAAATACAAATGTGATTACTTAAATTAAATATAATAGATAATTTACCACCAGATTAGATACCATTGAAGGAATAATTAATATACTGAAATACAGGTCAGTAGAAGTTTTTTTCAATTCAGCATGGAGATGTAAAAAATGAAAATTAATGCAAAAAATAAGGGCACAAAAAGAAATGAGTAATTTTGATCAGAAATGTATTAAAATTAATAAACTGGAAATTTGACATTTAAAAAAAAGCATTGTCGTCCAAGTAGATGTGTCTATTAAATAGTTGTTCTCATATCCAGTAATGTAATTATTATTCCCCCTCATGCAGTTCAGATTCTGGGGTAATCTTTAGACATCAGTTTTATCTTTTATATTATTTATTCTGTTTACTACATTTTATTTTGCTAATGATATTTTTAATTTCTGACATTCTGGAGTATTGCTCGTAAAAGGTATTTTTAAAAATATTTTATGGTTATTTTTGTGATTCCTATTCCTGTATGGACACCAAGGCTATTGACATTTTCTTTAGTTTCTTCTGTTAATTCTATTTTCTTAGTGTTTATATCATTTCATAGATAGGATATTCTTTATTTTTTATTTTTATTTAAATATTTGGTGATTCTTGGTTTTCTCAGCCATCTATTGTCAAGTGTTCTTATTAAGCATTGTTATTAAATAAAGATTATTTCCTCTAATCACATGAGAATCTTTATTTCCCCCAAGTAATTGAAAATTGCAATGCCATGCTGCCATGTGGTACAGCATGGGTTTGGGCTTGCTTTCTTCTTTTTTTTTTAACTTTTATTTTAGGTTTGGGAGTACCTGTGAAAGTTTGTTATATAGGTAAACTCGTGTCATCAGGGTTTGTTGTACAGATCATTTTGTCACCTAGGTACCAAGTACTCAACAATTATTTTTCCTGCTCCTCTGTCTCCTGTCACCCTCCACTCTCAAGTAGACTCCAGTGTCTGCTGTTCCCTTCTTTGTGTCCATGTGTTCTCATAATTTAGTTCCCCACTTGTAAGTGAGAACATGCAGTATTTTCTAGTATTTGGTTTTTTGTTCCTGTGTTAATTTGCCCAGTATAATAGCCTCCAGCTCCATCCATGTTACTGCAAAGAACGTGATCTCATTCTTTTTTATAGCTCCATGGTGTCTATATACCACATTTTCTTTATCTAAACTCTTATTGATGAGCATTGAGGTTGATTCTATGTCTTTGCCATTGTGCATATTGCTGCAATGAACATTTGTGTGCATGTGTCTTTATGGTAGAATGATATATTTTCTTCTGGGTATATATGCAGTAATGCGATTGCTGGTTGGAATGGTAGTTCTGCTTTTATCTCTTTGAGGAATTGCCATGCTGCTTTCCACAATAGTTGAACTAACTTACACTCCCACTAACAGTGTGTGTTTCCTTTTCTCCACAACCTGCCAGCATCTGTTATTTTTTGACATTTTAATAGTAGCCATTTTAACTGGTATGAAATTATATTTCATTGTGGTTTTAATTTGCATTTCTCTAATGATCAGTGATATTGAGTTTTTTTTTTTTTCACATGCTTGTTGGCTACATGTACGTCTTCTTTTGAAAAGTGTCTGTTCATGTACTTTGCCCACATTTTAGTGGGGTTGTTTTTCTCTTGTAAATTTGTTTAAATTCCTTATAGGTGCTGGATTTTAGACATTTGTCAGACGCATAGTTTGCAAATAGTTTCTCCCATTCTGTAGGTTGTCTGTTTATTTTGTTAATAGTTTCTTTTGCTATGCAGAAGCTCTTAATAAGTTTAATGAGATCCTGATATGTTTAGGCTTTGTATCCCCACCCAAATCTCATCTTGAATTATAATCTCCATAATCACCACATGGAGAGACCAGGTGGAGGTAATTGAATCTGGGGGTGGTTTCACCCATGCTGTTCTTGTGATAGTGAATGAGTTCTCACGAGATCTAATGGTTTTATGAGGGGCTCTTCCCAGCTTTGCCTGGTACTTCTCCTTCCTGCCGCCTTGTGAAAAAGGTGCATTGCATCCCTTTCACCTTCTCCTATAATTGTAAGTTTCCTGAGGCCTTCCCAGCCATGCTGAACTTCAAGTCAATTAAACCTTTTTCTTTATAAATTACTCAGTCTCTGGTGGTTCTTTATAGCAGTGTGAAAATGGACTAATGAAGTTCCCATTTATGAATTTTTGCTTTTGTTGCAATTGCTTTTGACATCTTAGTCATGAAATCCTTGCCTGTTCTAAGTCCAGGATGGTATTGCCTAGGTTGTCTTCCAGGGTTTTTCTAATTTTGTGTTTTGCATTTAAGTGTTTAATCCATCTTGAGTTGATTTTTGTATATTGTGTATGGAAGGGGTCCAGTTTCAATCTTTTGCATATGGCTAGTTAGTTATCCCAGTACCATTTATTGAAAAGACAGTCTTTTCCCCATTGCTCGTTTTTGTCAGTTTTATTGATGATCAGATAATCATAGCTGTGTGGCTTTATTTCTGGGTTCTCTATTCTGTTCTATTGGTTTATGTCCCTGTTTTTGTGCCAGCACCATGCTGTTTTGGTTAACATAGCCCTGTAGTATAGTTTGAGGTCAGATAGCCTGATGCTTCCAGCTTTGTTCTTTTTCTTAAGATTGCCTTGGCTATTTGGCCTCTTTTTTGGTTCCACATGAATTTTAAAACAGTTGTTTCTAGTTTTGTGAAGAATGTCATTGGTAGTTTGATAGAAATAGCATTTAATCTGTAAATTGCTTTGTGCAGTATGGCCTTTTAATGATATTGCTTCTTCCTATCCATGAGCATGATATGTTTTCCATTTTGTTTGTATCCTCTCTGATTTCTTTGTGCAGTGTTTTGTAATTCTCATTGTAGAGATTTTTCACCTCCCTGGTTAGTTGTATTTTACCCTAGATATTTTATTCTTTTTGTGAAAATTGTGAATGGGATTGCCTTCCTGATTTGACTGCCAGCTTGGTTACTGTTGGTTTATAGAAATGCTAGTGATTTTTGTACATTGATTTTCTTTCTAAAACTTTGCTGAAGTTTTTTTTATTAGCAGAAGGAGCTTTGCGGCTGAGACTATGGGGTTTTCTAGATATAGAATCATGTCAGCTTCAAATAGGGATAATTTTACTTCCTCTCTTCCTATTTGGATGCCCTTTATTTCTTTCTCTTGCCTGATTACTCTGGCTGGGATTTCCTATGTTGAATAGGAGTCATGAGGGAGGGCATCAAATCTACACATATCAAATACTAACCTTGAATGTAAGTGGGCTAAATGCCCCACTTAAAAGGTAAAGGGGGGCAAGCTGAATAAAAAAGCAAGACTCAATGGTATGCTGTCTTTGAGACCTATCTCACATGTGATGACACCCATCGGCTCAAAATAAAGGAATGGAGGAAAATCTACCAAGCATGTAGAAAACAGAAAAAAGCAGGGGTTGCATCCTAATTTCAGACCAAACAGACGTCAAACAAACAAAGTTCAAAAAAGACAAAGAAGGGGCCGGGAGTGGTGGCTCACACCTGTAATCCCAGCACTTTGGGAGGCCAAGGTGGGCGGATTACAAGGTCAGGAGATCGAGACCATCCTGGCCAACATTGTGAAACCCCATCTCTACTAAAATCCAAAAAAAAAAAAAAAAAATAAGCTGGGCTTGGTGGTGTGTGCCTGTAGTCCCAGCTACTCGGGAGGCTGAGGCAGGAGAATCACTTGAACCTGGGAGGCGGAGATTGCAGTGAGCTGAGATTATGCCACTGCACTATAGCCTGGCGACAGAGTGAGGCTCCGTCTCAAAAAAAAAAAAAAAAAAAAAGACGAAGGGCATTACATAATGATGAAGGGTTTTACTCAACAAGAAGACCTTACTAACCTAAATATATATGCACCCAACACAGGAACACCCAGATTCATAAAGTAAGTTCTTAGAGTACAAAGAGGCTCCCACACAATAATAGTAGGAGACTTTAACACACCACTGATAGTCATAGACAGATCATCAAGGTAGAAAATTAACAATGATATTCAGGATCTGAACCCAACATTCCACCGAATGAGTCTGATAGACATCTACAGAACTCTCCATCCAAAAACAACAGAATATACATTCTTCTCATCTCCACATGGCACATGCTCTAAAATTGACCACATAATGCCTTTCTTTTCAGTGGTCCATATGTAAGTCTTTTGAAAGTGGCAGCATCTCTACTGCTCATGCTTGTTGCAAGGAACTCTACTGAATACAAGGAACTTTACTAATCTCTAATGCTTGTGAGTAGATTCTGAACTCATCATTTAGAAAGCTAAACTGGGGGCTTTCTTCCCAGAGCAAAGACATAAAACAAACCTCAATTGAGCGTGGGACAGGGAGTCATGTGCTATAAACTTCTTGGACAGTTCTTATTCTATGGACCAATTACCATTCCCTTGTATCTCTAATTTTGGGATTATTTCTGGATTAAAACACAAAAAAAATCAGACTGTAAAAAGTCATCATTTCTACCAGTGTGAGAATATGTATTCCTCACCTTTACTGGGATTCACTGCCAGTATATATGCAAATGACTTATACACACACATACACACACGCACATACACACACACGTGTGTGTGTGTAGGTATGTCTGTAATAGGTATTTATATGTTTGCCTGTCTTTCTATTAGAATTGAGATACAGCAAAATGCACAGAAATTAAGCATTCAATTTAGTAAGTTTTCACAAATGTACATATTTAATCAATATCTCAATCAACGCAAAAACCATTGTTTCACCTCTGAAGATAATTTTTAATCTTTTGCAAATTATTGAGACTTATTTAATGACCGAGACTACACAGTCCTTCGTAAACATTCCATGTAAATTTGATAAAAATATTTCCATGAAATTTTTTGTGTAGTGTTCTAAAACTTGAAATTAGACTACATTAGTTGATAGTATTATTAGAATCTTCCAAATCCTTACTAATTTTTATATGTTCATCTATTGTTTATTTTGAGCCGATGATTAAAATCTTCAACTATGAGTGAAAGTCTATTTCTCTGTTTAGTTCTGTCTGTTTTTACTTCATGCATTTTGACACTCTGTTATCAGTTGTATAAACATTGAGAATTATAATGCATTGCTAATGAGCTTAACCTTTTATCATTCCATCTCTGATATTTCAGCTTATTTTGAATCCTACTTTCTCTGGTATTAGCCAGCTACATCAGTTTTACTTCCTTTCATTTTCAACCAATTTTATGACTCCATCTCAAAAAAAAAATGCATTCATTATACAGAGCATATAGTTTTGTCCTTTTTAAATCCAGTCTCAAAATTGCTAGCTCTTAATTTAAGTGTGTTATGGGTTGAATTGTCTGCCAAAAAAAACATACGTTGAAGTCCTTACCCCAGTAATTAAGGATGCAACCTTATTGAAAGATAGGATCTTTATAGATGTAATCAAGTCAAAATGGGATCATTAGAGTGGCCTGTAATCCAATGTGACTGGTGGCCTTATGAAAGGGGGAAATTTGGACACAAAAATGCCACCAGAAAGCACAACATATGAACATGAAGAAAGCCATCTAAAAGCCACGGAGAGATGTCTAGAACAGATTCTTCTTCACAGCCTTTAGAAGGAACCAGTACCTTGAATTCAGACTTCTAGCCTTCAGGACTTGAGATAATACATTTTTGTTGCTTGAGGCACCTAGTTTATGGTACTTTGTTATATAACCCTAGGAAACTAATATAAATGTTCAATCCATTTACATTTAATCAGTGATGTCAGTGTTGTTAAATCTACCATGTTACTATTTGCCTACTATTTTCTTATTTGGGTGTTGTTCTCTTCCCTTGGTTGTTGATATTTCTTTCTTCACCGGTTCAGTGTTACCTTCCTTAGAGTAAATGGATATTTTTCAATATTTCATTTTAATTATGCTATTGGCTTTATACCCTTCATACATGTGTTCTTGTTGATTCGATGTTCTTGGATCTCTGCATTGAAATTTTTCATCAAAATTTGAAAACACTGGCAATTATTTCTTCAAATATATTTTTTCTTTCCCATTTTCTGACTCATCCTTTTGAGACTTCATTTGTGTATAGGTTTGATGGCTTGATATCCCATGTCATTCAATCTCTTATTTTAATCATTTTCCTCTTTTGTTTGAGATTAGATAAATTCAAAAATGGTTTTCAAGGTTATTTGTCTGCTTTTCAGAGAGCTGAAATCTGAGAGTATACCCTGCCAGTGACTCTTTCATTGTATATTTTGCACTTGTTACTTCAACAATGTTCATTTCTCAAAATTACCTTTTTCGTTCTATCATTGTGACAATATCTCCATAGTCTAAGGACATATTCATAATATATATCTGTTGATTTCAATGCCTGGGTCATTATGATGTATGTTCTATTGACTGCTTTTTTCCCCTTGATTATTTATTAAATTTTCCTGCTTCTTTGCGTAACTTGTATTTTTGACTAATACACTGTAGAAAATCTAGACGTTGTCTTCTTGTAAAAGGCCCTAAGATAGTCCTTTGAAAGCTGTTAAGTGGCTTCCAGATCCTTTTGATCTGCCATGCCTGGTTTCATTATTTGTTAATGAAAATCTCTTTCATTTTTGTTCTTAAAGATAGGACATAGTCTTTACTGAAAGAAATAGTCCTTGTTCTTAATGCCTGGAATATTCCGTAAAATATCTTCCCTGTGGCTAGTCAGTAACCCAAACATCTCCTTGTCCTGTTACTACTGATATCTTATTCCCACAGTATCTGCTTTCAGCAGGTCTTGCAGATGTTAACCCTGCTCAGGTATAGAGCAGCTTTTGACGAAATTGGTGCCAAATACTTATTCTGGCTTCTGTAGGCCTACCCCATGCCTCTTTTTCCTTTCCTATACAAATTTCAGCCACTTCAGCAGCTCTTAAATAACAACCACTTAAGCAAGTGTAAGCTATTTACAAATATCGATAGATAGATAGATAGAGAGAGAGAGAGATGATATAGATAGAGATTTAATTGTAATTTTAGATTCAGGGGGTATATGTGCAGGTTTGTTACAAAGTTATATTGCTTGCTGCTACTGTTTGGGCTTCCACTGATCCTGTCACCCAGGTAGTGAACTGAATACCTAACAGGAAGTTCCTTGGCTCTTGTCCCTCTACCCCTACCTCTTTTTGGAACCTAATTAAACTAAGAGCTTCTGCATAGCAAAAGAAATTATCAACAAATAAGCAGACAACCTACAAAATGAGAGCTTTAAGCTTTAATTTCTTCCTCTAAACTCATTATTTTTAGAGTCTGCCTCCTTGTTTAATGGGAGAAAAAGTGCCCCTAGTCACATTCTCTGGTTAAATGTGGTACTTACCTCACAGCTTTCTTCTCTCTTGAGTATGAAAAACTTGTACTTCTTGTTTGATGCATAAAATCTGGTTCCTCATATATGTTGCCCAGTTTTATCATTGTTTATAGTGAAAAGGCAAGTCCCTCCAATAATTCTATTATGGCCAAAGACTAAAGTGCCTCTGATATGACTTATGTCCTTCAGAAATTGCTTACTCTTTAGTCTGTTGGTAGAATTCTTCTCAACTTTCCATAGTTATTTTAATAAGTACTATATTTTCCTATTTCAATGGCAATTTGGAATAAAGGAGAAATAAATGTATTTGTTTGGTCCATCTTTGTGTATTCAAACTGTTAAGTCATTACTTTTCACGTCCACTACACATATTACTGCACAGTAATTCCTTGTTTACACCTATAATCTCCCTCTCCTGTTTTCCTAGTTTCTATTCAAGTATTTGGGGTAACTGATATTTCTTAAAACAATATGTATTCTTGGAAAGAGATGTTTCTAGAATCCCCTTCTTAGGTGACTTATTAGGAAAAATTATAAGAATAAGAACGAGAATAGAGAAGAAAAGTAATTGAAGACATCCACTTCAACTCTAAATCCCCCTAGGAGAAAAAAGGCTAGCACTTATTTAAATGCCCTTCTTAGGTGACTTATTAGGAAAAATTATAAGAATAAGAATGAGGATAAAGAAAAGTAATCGAAGATACCCACTTCAACTCTAAATCCCCACAGGAGAAAAATGGCTGGCACTTATTTAAACTCATCTAGGTTTTAGTTTTGCTGATGTTGTTTTTCCAATAATAATCTGTTTCAATTATTATAACAGCAATTTCAGTGAAATATGGTACTTACCAGCTAAGTTTTACACAGGGAAGCACTTTCCTAAACACTTCCCCATCCTTCTTCAAAGTTTGAATCCAAATCTTTTGTACTCCAGGGCTTATTTTGTTTTTCCTACAGCATTCTGCCTTTCTAGAATTAGCACTAGTTACCCTCAGGAAAAGCAAATACATGGACCCATAAAATAATCTTTGGAAGTCTTTCTTCTCCTGCTAGTTACCAAATTATAATCTTCTTATTGTAATAATAAAATAAAATAAAAAATAAAAAGAACTATTTTACTCTAATAAGTTTCCCATTAAGCTAAGCCTGCTTTTGTTGTATTAGAGATTAACATATGTAGACAGTGTTCTTTTTGACTGGAAATGGGGATTAGTTATGGTTCAAGTAATGCATAAACAAGATGTATTTTTAAAAATACGTCATATTTATGCATTATATTTAAGCAGCCATTTGTAAAAAGCTGAAACTTATTAGAAAGTGAATTCTTCATACTCATGTTTGTATTTTCAATGTTTAGGATTATTTGTTAGCTTAGGTATAGACTAGATTATTTTTCTAAACAAACAGGAATAAGAAATATAGGTAGTAAAATTTACATGACCTGGTAAAATTTAAAATATCCATTCTGACTAACAGGCAGTGATGAGAACAATAAATAAAATATATCTTGGTTTAAATTCTAAGTAAATATATTTGACAATATAAATATAAACATACTCATATGAGTGAATTGCTTCTAATTCTGGCTTTTAGCTAAATAAGCACTTAATGCTAGTAAGAAAAATACATTATTTCATAAAGATAACAAATTCTTTCAGAAATAGTAATTATATTTTTAAAGAGTTTGGGGAAAATAGAAGTGTATACTCTAATCTTATAGCAAAGTTTCTGCTAAGTTTTTGTGATGCCAGTGTTTTCATTATGAATCATTTCACTGTCAAACAAAATGTACGCTGTTGATTAAACACAGGCAAAAAGAGACGGAAAGAAAAAGGTATATTAAAAAAAAGACCTTTGGTTATTCTGGCTGCCACCAATTGCTTTCTTGTTTCAGCTGAATTTTGAAGTAGCTAATCATATTTTGGCATTTTCTTGTCATCAAAGCATTTCGTGAAATTATCCCATTACAATGTTTTTCTCAGAGGCAAAATTAACATGGTTGACAGTTTAATTGACATATTTCTTTTTCGTTGTGTGCCTTTGCCAATTAAACAAATTGCACCCTATTTTGATGTTCATTTTGTTAATTATTTGTAAAACTGTAGACTCTGATTTTTTTTTTTTTTAATTTTCAGGTGTCAGTTTCTTGGTCGGGAATGAAAATAGTGCCAACCTGTGATACCTTCACTCTAATTTTACTTTCTGAGGAAGTTTTCTGTAATAGTTATTTGGTGATAATTATTAATACTGGTGAGTTTTAAAATTTTTGCTTTCAGCAATTTTCCATTTTTTTCAACATACTTATATCGCAATGAGGCAACCAAATATGAATCCTGAGAATGAAGATGGAAAATGAATATTTTAATCCAATATCGAGTTGTTCTTTCAACATTTTTAGTTTTAGTTTTAATCGAAAATATAAAGTTACATAATTGTGTGAGGAATAATTTTTGCAGAGAAATTTTTAAAAATTCACAAAAGGAAAAAGAAACCTTTACCATGAGTCTATAACATTGAAAGACTGTGTTTAAGTTATTTTAATAAAGCCAAACCAACACTTTCAGCAGGAACTAAATGGCAGCATCTGATTTCACGCTGATACATATGTATTAGTGTGGTGCTCACTTTTACCCTTCATTTTACCTTGGGTCTTGCCATTTTCTTTCTTTTTATTTTTATGTTTTTTTGTGTTTTGTTTTCTTTTGGAAGAGGTAATTTTTAGGGAGAAAAAAAACACTTTTTCCTCATAGGTCGATTTAAAATGTTGGCCTTACCTTAATCTCCTCTCTCAAACTCAATCCACTATGTAATGGGTCAACATACTTTTCTGTGAAGGAGCAGATAGTAAATATTTTAGTCTTTGCAGGCCATATGGTCTCTGTTGCCAGCTCTTCCATTGTGGTGTGAAAGCAGCCATAGACAACACAGAAATGAATAAGTGTAACTGTTCCAATAAAAACAGATGATATGTTGAATTTAGCTCACAGAGTTTAGCTTGCTGCCCCTGCAGGAGGCCTTTGGAGTAAAAGCTTCCTGAGAGGAGGACTTTTTGTCTTTTTTGCTCAAGTTCTAGCTCCAGTACCTAAAATAGTGCCTGTCACGTAGGTATTGATGAATATTGGAACCTGTTGAACATACACCTAAAATAAAACATTTGGCAAGATACAGTACTACACAATTTGGAGAACACTTGGCTCCCATAGAAATCAAAGCCTTCCTGAGTAATTAATTATTTGGCCTGATGATGAATTACTGTGCCTGAGATGATAGAGCTAATTTATTTTTCAATTCACTCAGGGGACACACGTTATTTTCACTGTGAATTTGGTTAAAATGAAAAGATTTCCTGCTCTAAGTCCTGGATAGACCTTTATGTAATAGCATACTCTTCACTCTTTTTGAATCGCATGCAGTTGTCAGACTGGATGATTTCCAGACAGAGGTTCCAAGTCTTTCATCATGTTTGGGTTAAAGACCTCATTAACATACTAGTCCTGCCATTTGAGTCTGTTCTCTTCACGGAATATTTTCACCTGAATCAGTGGGTATAATTCATCAGTGTCTGGTTGCTTCAAGTTATTTTTCTTAATGCTGATGTTAATGCATGCCCATCTTTATGCCTCAACACATTGCACAATGAAAAACAAAAATTATTTTGGAAGACACAGCTGACATCTATATGAAATATTCAGTATCAGTGATTGAACTTCAGCAAGCTCCTGTGGCCAGCAGGGTTTTACGGAGGTGCAACTGCTCTCCCACGATCACTTATCATAAAGCCAGAGACAATTGGGCCAATGTAGCCTCTTGCCTGCTTTTGTGTACAAAATATAAATAGAATAGAGCAAATAAGGAAAAATAGTCCCGCAGCTGGAAGGCAACTTTAAAGAAAAATGATGTTCATAGCTGTCTTGCCAGTAGCTGGCAAAGCAGTTTTTATAAGACATATTTAATGTTTACAACCACTTGGAGGCTGGGGAAGGAGTAATACTTTGAAAATATGTTTAATGTTGTGAACCACTCTGTGGCCGAGAAGCAACTCCGGCTAAAATATATTTAATGCTTAGAGTCATTTGGCGGTTTCGAAAAAAAGAAACTTCTTGTTAATTTTTAACATTTATTGCTGATCAGTGGCTGCTAAAGTAACTATCAGTACAGCATGATTTATATTTAGGGACACGCTGTGCTGCTACTAAAACAATTCATACTCTTCTCTCAAGGCTACACAAAAAGTGTCAATAGCATTACCTTTGCAATTGCACCACTAATAAAAACATAGGAATCAAACAGACGAATAAAATGCTCCCTGCCCACACAGCCATAACATCCTATGGCCCTGAAAATAGTTCTGCCAAGCTGCGTGCAGTGGACACTTCACGGCTGGCACAGGAGAGATCACAAGGCCTTGCTCAATTTCATCAAAAGTGTTAAAGCGACTCAGCAGATTGTGAAGCACAAGTGGAAGCTGATAATTGGTGTTTCTTACAAATCAACGGCTTGTCTCCACACATCAAGGTAAAGGCGTCCTCTACACCAAAGAAAATGTAAATTGGGATAGAAGGTCATTATGTTTTTAAATAAACTTGGTTAAATTTGTAGAAAGGGCAATGGTAAATACTGAGCTCACATGTCAGATGGAGAGAAAACTTGAGAAAAGGGAAGAAGATAATGAGCTGGAACCTTTACCATTTAGACTTTCTCTGGCTAGCTTTCTGAGAATGATCATCAAACTCTTATGAGGACCCTTTCCAATGTATTGACTGCACTTCCCCAGGGATTGTGGCAAATGGTAAATATATATTTTCTCCTTGCTACTTGCAATAACCCTGCTCATAAAGTGTTACTATTATTCACTTGCAGGTGAGAAAATCAATGTAAAAGAGGAGAAATAACCCACACAACCACATACAACTAGGAAATGATAGATGGATCTGAAAAAAAGGATAAGCACTCTTAACAAGTTCAACACCCAAGTACTATTGCAAGTACAAGCTGTATTTCATGGAAAAAAAAAAAAGAATAACTCAAAAGGCAGAACGAAGAGCCTAGAGGTCAGAGATGAGAGGCATGAATAATTATTCACAGGCGTTGAATATAATCAAATGACTTGCAACATTTACCACTGGGATTTTAAAATGTGGTGGACCAATCATTCTTTTAGTCTGTGCATTTTCCCATTTTTTTCAACAGGAATGTCTAGAGACATTATTCCTGTTTTGCCACTGTATTTTTGGTGAATGTGTAGTAAGTAACTGGCCTCTTTAGTATCACAAAGCTGGATGAAGAAAATGTGGTACATATACACCATGAAATACTATGCCGCCACAAAAAGGAAATGAGATCATGTCCTCTGCAAGGACATGGATGAATCTGGAAGCCATTATCCTTAGCAAAGTAACGCAGGAACAGAAAACCAAACACCACATGTTGTCTCTTAGAAGTGGGAGCTGAACAGTAAGAACACATGGACACAGGGTGGAGAACAATACACACTGGGGCTTGATGGGGGGTGGAGGGGAGGGATGGGGAGCATTAGAAAAAATAACTAATGCATGCTGGGCTTAATACCTATGTGATGGGTTGATAGGTGCAGCAAACCACCCTGGCACATGTTTATCAATGTAACAAACCTGCACATCCTGCACAGGTACTCCAAAACTAAAAGTAAAAAAATCTAAAAGAAAAAAAAAAAAGAATTAAACCCAAAATCACTTCCCCATCTGGACTTGATTTAGATGAAAAGCTTCTGGACTTTGAGCTGATGCTATAGTGGGTTGAAAATTTTGGGGTCCTCAGAAGGGGATGAGGATATATTGCATGAGAGAGCAACATGAATCATTGAGAGCCAGAATATAGAGAGTGGTAGGTAGACTGTAGGAGAGCCCTCAATGATCCCAGCTTTCTTGTATTCGCGTTGCACTTACTTGTATAATATGGCAGATGGGATGTGATGTCACTTTCAAGATTAGGTTATAAATAGACTATGGCTTCAATCAGAGGGTTTTCTCTCTGTCTAGCTCTCTTTTGGGTAGTTCATTCTGAGGAAAGCCAGCTGCCACGTTATGATGTAGGCCTGTGAGGTCCACGTAGCAAAGAACATATGGAAGATTTCTACCACCCCCTAACTAAGCCTTTAGGTCAGACCGCAACCCCAGCCAACAAGGTAGCTACAAACTCTTGAGAAGCCTTGAGACAGAGGTACTCAATAGAGCCATTCCTATGAGAAACGTAAGTATCTGCTGTTTTACACCGCTAAGGTTTTAGCTAATGTATTATGCCATAATAGATAAGTTATATACAACCTTTATCAAATAATAAAAGTAACCATCATCAGTAATGAGACAAATCAAAAACCATGGCCCACCCAATAGAACATAATGAGGAGAGTACAGAATTGCTTCTGGGATATTTCTGACAAAGATGTATATGCTTCATTCATACATGAGGAAACATCACACATACTCAAGATGGGAGAGCCATTCTAAAAAATAACTAGGCAGAAATCTTCAAAAATATTAAAGTCACGGAAACCAAGAAAAAATATGAACCTGTTCCAGATTAAAGGAAACTAAACAGACCTAACATTTTAATACAATGTTTGATTTTGAACTTGAACTTTTTGTTATATAAGACACTATTGAGACAAGTGCTAATGCTTGAATAGGGCTGAAGGATTAGATTATAATAATACATTAATGCAAATTTCCTGATTTTAAACATTGTAGTTTGATTGCACAAGGAGAATGTCTTTATGTGTGGAAAATAAATAGTCAACATTCTGTCTTCAAGCTTCTGAAAAAACTCTGCTTTTAGGGCATAGATAGAAGTGGATGATAATTCACCTGTTCCTCTGCTACTAATTGAGCTGCTCTCTGTTTCCATGGCTGGCTCATGGGATGAGAGAATATATCTAGTTTTTTATGTTTCAATTTGTCTCTCTATGGCATTTTTGTGAAAATAAGGAAGTGTGGAGACTTATATATGTTTCTAAATTGTAATAGTTCATTAATGTAAAGTACAGACACAGTCTTCACTTTTCCTTCTTAGACCGTTTAAATATGGCCACGAAACAAGTAGTCTCTGGTTGGCTGGGCACTGTGGCTCATGTCCTTAACACCAACACTTTGGGAGGCCGAGGCAGGCAAATCACTTGAGGTCAGGAGTTCGAGACCAGCCTGGCCAATGTGGCAAAACCCCATCTCTTCTAAAAATACAAAAATTAGCTGAGTGCGGTGGTGCACACCGGTAATCCCAGTTACTCGAGAAGCTGAGGCAGGAGAATCACTTGAACCTGGAAGGCAGAGGTTGCAGTGAGCCAAGACCGCACCACTACACTCCAGCCTGGGCAATAGAGCAAGACTCCATCTCAAAAAAAAAAAAAAAAAGAAAAAAGAAAATAGTCTCTGGTTAAATAACCTCTGAAAGACTCCACCAAAAATTTCATCTTAGCATTTCTCCCCAAACTTCATGTAAAATAAAATAGAGTTGAGAGAAAAATAGAAAGGCAAGGGAGTACCTGTTCACTATTTTTATTAAACCAGTGTTCTACTTTATTTTAGGTGTATCTTTTCTTATTTAAATGTCAGCTAAACTTTCTTTTTAAGATATTGAATGAAAGATGCCCATCCTTCAGGTTTCGTTTAAGCAAGAATCCCCATTCTCAAATAATATAATATAAACTTTCCAAATTCTTAAGTAGATCATCTGAGATTGAAAGCTAAGTTTAACTTTCTCAAAGATATTTTAGCCGCCATGACACCTAGACAAAGTGGTATATTAAATTCTGATTAATTTGGTCCTAAAGCACCTAAGAATCATTCTTACTTTCTTATCCACAGGGGTTATTAAGTTTTCACATTAAAAAAAATCCAACAGTGAATAATACTGCATTGGGGTTACTGTAATTGTTAAGTAAAATAAGAAATACAAATCTTTAGTTAGATCACATGGCACCTGACTACTGCTTAGAAAATGGTAAGACTTACTACATAAATGATGAGTCACTATTGACATCTACTATATCATATCATAGGTTAGGTATCTAATTATAAATAGTCAAATCAGCTGACTCAAGGTGGCATAGCTCAAGCAGAGGAAGATAATACAAGTTGAGTATGGATTTAACACTCTAAACCTGTCAGCACTGTAGGAAAAGTAACTTAAAACTGCACACCCCACTTATGCATAATCATCAGATATAAAGAGGGTACATTCCTGTAATTTATTGTTGCTCTAGTGATCTTAAAGAATTAAGTCCACATTCATAAAGTCCAAACTTGTCTCCAAGGATTTGCTTTGACTTTGGGAGTATCTGGATCATTAAGTAATTTCCGGAGGTCAGAGTAAAAGCTTTTTATCTCTAAATATTACTTCCCTGGAAAATTAGATGTAGCAGAAGTCAGTAACGGAGTGACCTTTGTCTTAAACAATTCATAGATTCACTGAAATTTTCTTCAACTTTAGGAAAATGAAATATATTCCACAGTGCTGTAAGTCTTAAATATTGATTTTCCTCTGAAATCTTGACTCATCCTACCCACCAACATTCTCCCTTTGTACACTATGTTCTTTGTAATGTTCACGTTACACAAGTGAAAATTAGTAACATTAGTAAATTTTCATTGCAGGTTTATTTGTTCATATTTCTGGATATATAATCCATTACTGTTAAACTTCGTATCAATGTTCCGATATTTCTTCATCTTATGTTTTATGTTACAAAACAGGTTATTTCACTATATGTATTTTTAATTGATTAATTCTTCCCTTTTTTGGAAATGAAACAGCCCTCTCAATTATTGGGACAGAAAAGTTATTTCATAGGGAATACTTCAAACACTGATATCTACAACAGGCAGTAAGATTCGTCACAACAATTGGTATACTGTCAATATACCATACAAAGTTCCATCTGGTCTTGATTAAAAATTATTTTAGTTTTCTCAGGAAAATGATACAGAGGGAGAATTGCCTAGATTATATGAGAGAAAAAAAAGTAGAGAGAAACATAATGTTTTCTTAGATTATTACAGCAGTGAACTATTTCCACCTGGTAAGAAGGGTGCACTTGAGAATGGGGTACAAGTACTCTAGGAACATAGATGTAAGTTCTGGATGCACAGTAGTTGTTGCTTAGCTGTAAGCTGGAAATTTCAAGGCAGAAACAGCAGATACCACAACTATAACTGGGTCTTCTTGTTTTTTGTTTTATGTGTATACGTGAGATTATGGGGAAAGACAAAAGTAATGCATAGAGATTTATTTTTTAACATTCAATTCATAAGCAGTGTTTATACCTCTTTGTACTTACTTGAAAAGTGTATATTATGTAAATTTAGTATAAAAACACTTGGACTAATTCATACCATGTGGTAAAATTTCACATTCAAAAGAAATACCCTTCTGTTATTAAAAATAAAAAAAAAAGGAGCCAGGAGGGTGGCTCATGACTGTAATCCCAGTGCTCTGGGAAGCCAAGGTGGAGGGATCATTTGAGGCCAGGACTACTTGAGAACAGCCTGGGCAACATAGCTAGATCCCTTCTCTACAAAAAGTAAAAAAAAAAAAAAAAAACAAAAACAAATAGCTAGGCAGGGTGGCACATGGCTGGCTATTAAGGAGGCTCAGGTGGAGGGATCTCTTCAGCCCAGGAATTTAAGGCTTCAGTGAGCTAAGATTGGGCCATTGCACTCCAGCCAGGGCAACAGACCAAGACCCAGTCTCAAAATAAATAAATAAAAATGAAAGAAAGCAGTGCACTGAAAATCAATTTAAGTATTTACTGGAGTTGTCTTGAAGGCCCAATGGGAAATGTCAGTAAGGGCACATGAGAAAACACTTTAAGAACCTATTCTTCCAAAGATCTTTCCAGTATCTTATGACAACACAGTAAATTATACCCACTCCAACTGCAAAAGCTGAAACTACTCTGCTTTCTCACTTACCTACACTTTTGACTTTCCAAATACATTTCTCTCTTCGGATATGAGCTGCAAACTCCTTATATAAAGGCTCCAACTCTGCAGCCCTAATTATTCTAGTTGGCCCAAGAAAAATCCTAATTGTTTTATCTAAGGAGACGGAATTTTCCAATACTGTAGAGGCATGTGTGTGTGTTTGCTTTAAGGAAGCTGTTTTGGTAATAAAAAGTCACTGAAGGTCATAAATTCATGTTAACACATCCAGTGTACATGAAGTAGGCACCGAGTTAAACTATTTGTCTACTATATAGCATGTCATCTTAAAAGCCTTATTTTTTCCTCAAAATATTAACTTTATTTTTCTCCCTGTAAAATCAAGACACAGTTAAAATGTAGCCTTCCTCATTTTCTGGGAATACTTTCTAACAAGATATGCTTCTTTCCAATTGGACTTCTAAATTTCTAGCAATTCTAACAGTGCATAAAAGAGGCAACCCCAAAAGTGTAGCAGGTACTGAATAACAGATTTGCAGCCTTGGGTATCCACATTAAAATTTGAAATCTAAGTGAATTACTTCAAGCTGATTTCTTAGGTCAAGGAGAGATTATGGTCCTTAAATGCCTGATAAGGTCACATACACAATTTCAAGTGCATTATAGTAAATCCATGTGACAGCTCCTACAGCTACTAACCTGCTTCTGCCCTCACGGTAGCGTGCACAATCTTCATCGCATGTCCTGGGTGGTGGTAGGAGCAGTAGAAACCCCCTGGGTCATGTCAGATTTAGAAAATATAAGCAATGGCTCATACACGAATTTTAAGTTGTAACCTACATGTGATAAGTTGCTTTATCTTCCAAATGTAATAAAAACCAGAAGTTACTTTGAAATAAATTGAAGGATTAGCAGTGGTGACTGAGGAATAAAAATTATAATTTAAAATTGTCCTTAAGGCTGGAATTCTTAACTTATTGACCTTATATCCTACATATTATAGGACTTTGTAAATTTAGGCTGATATGGAAATGTATATTTATATCAAATTTAAATTTTTAGAATGATGGTGCTACTATATTCTAATTGTTAATTTGATAATTGTAATTGTAATTTGTTAATTTGTTCTAATAATGTTTTCATGACATTATTCATTTGCTGCTTGGCTTGATGGCATAACAAGTATGGGTTATTTACCCTGAAAAGGAAACAGTATCACCCTTCCAGAATCTCTATTTACAGCTACAAAAGATGCAACACACCTGTTTCTGGACCACTTCCAGATCAGATGTGATGCATGCTTTAGATCATTTACTTTGATCTAGGAATTACTGTCTGGCATTTCGTGGTGTAGGGTAGGTGTCTCCAGCACTGTATAGGTGTCTGGAATTGAGATAAGAATCAATTTCAATACAAAATACATTTTTTGCTTAAAGCACGCAAGGATTCTATGAATTCAGGTAAATTCACAGGGTGGAAAACAGGAACTAATGTTATATATTCCTGTAGTTATCTTCATAATGAAGCAGAAAGAAAAACAAAAAAGTTACAAAAATAAATGAAAAGAACTGTATTTTCTAGAATTGAAAAATAATTCTTTTAGATGATAGATAAGATGTTTACATCAACCTGCAAAAAGTCAATGTTGAAGAGGTCTCATTGTATCTCACAGAATTTTGATTTGCCTACTCACCCACAGGAGACATTTCTGGGACAGTAGCAACATAAGGTCCATCCCAAAACTTTGGCTCATTATCATTAATATCCTGCACTTTGATGATGAATTCTGATTCAGGCTCCAGGGGCTTTCTGGTTTCTATGTCCACAGCCTGAGCACGAAGAGTGTAGAAAGGTTTTTCTTCTCTATCTAGGCTCCTTATTGCATGAATGTCCCCTGTGGTTTCATCAATGGTAAAAACGGTGCCAGCGCCATCTCCTGAGAGGGTGTATTTCGCAGTGCCCTCTCCCTTGTCTAAGTCGGAATGGAGCTTTAGGGAAGAGAGGGAGAGAGAGAGGAAGAGAAAGAGAAGGACAAAGAAAGAACACCATTAAAAGGATGTTGCCAAATTAAAAAGTCATAATTTGCAATACAATTCCTTTAATCAAAAATGTTAAATAAAAATCTTATGGTTCTGTTTTCTTGTTTTTTATTTCTCCAACTTCTTTTTATAAAAATTTCAACACAAAAAGTTGAAAACTGTGCAATGAACACATATACATATACATCCAAACATTCCTCCATATGTGTGCAATGAACACATATATACCTATACATCCAAACATTCCTCCATTCGTCTATTAATCTGCTTGCCTTATCAGATAGGTCTCATATCCATTCTTCTGTTCATCCTTCTCTTAACCCATTTTTTTTTTGAGGTGTTACAAAGATCAGAACAAAAGTACAACCTCAGATATAGCAGCAGGCAAAAAAAAACAATAAATTTTGAAAATTTGTATTTAGTTCTTCTGTATCCCTTTGGGATAACATTTTCATAAAATGAAATGCACAAAACTTCAGTGTACTTATTGTTTCATTTTAAATAAACATTGCAATAAAAATAAATTAGCTCATAGACACCACAAAATAAACTTTCCAAGTGTTCTGAAGATGAAATCAATGACCTGAATCCAGTGGGAGATAGTGCAAAGGAACTCAGAAAACACTAAGCATTTTCATTTGTAAAGAAGGGAAAAATCTGGCAAATCAAGAGGTTTTCAGTGATATAGGGCAGAGCGTCTCATTTTAACAGGCTGAGTTTGAATGAGTTTACCACTATGATTGGTAGAATCACTGATTATCCTTTCAGATTCACAAATAGCTTGTTCCAATTCATTCTATATAGAGAATATTTATGTTGAGTAATATAGGAAAGCATTGAAATTCTGCTAATTTTTTTTTAAAATTCAACACATGTATGGTACATTACATTATAGCATGGAATAAGATACACATGAATAAGCGATAAGGAAGAGAACTAAAGAGTAGAGAGAATTATCAGTGTAATGCCATAAAGCAGCGTTGTTCAAACCGGAGACCAAGAATAAATGAAAAATGGACACAGTCTTAAAAGTATATAAATTATGTGTAAATAAATATATACATAAAATATTACATAAAATAAAATAGTGCATCATATACAATTTTCTAGTAGTATATATTTGTATAAATATATTCTTATACATAATATAATTATATATACATAACAGTCATAAATAATATTTATATTAATTTTTATGCAGATGCTGATTTAAATGTTTTAAACTATTCTTGCTCATTTGGGTATAGCCATTTGATTTCAGCATCCAAATTTTTACATGTAACAGCTTTTTCCAGACAACAGATCACCCAAAAGAAAATTAAACTTTTGCAGCATTTCTAACCATTTGGGCTATGCCTTAAAAATCTGCATATGAGCACTGCTCTTTGCAAATCATTGCTTAAGAATGAGTTCTGTTTTCCTAACATTTCAACACACACAAAAACTCTGAAAATATTTTAAATTATATAAATATCCTGTTGCAAATAAGCTTCCTGTGTATTAGTATGAGTAATTAAAAGCACAAATATAGCCCAAATAAATACAAGTTCAACTGTGGCTACATCTTTGCTCTTAAGCTCAAGAGCGTGCTTTAAGTTCAATAAAATAATATCATTGTTCATATTAATGTTATTAAGGTAAACTTATTCATTTTGTGACCCTGCATTTCCTTCAATATTTGTTCTAAAACTGTTTTGTATGAGAGTATAAGCATAACCATAAAAACCTGGTTGGGTAATATAATAAAAATAATGTGGCAACAATAAGAGGGAACAAGATTTTGGCGTTCCTTTAAAAGTTTCTGTATATTTTACTTAAGTATAAAGAAAATTGTTATGAATGATAGGAGGAAGGATTTTTGTCCACCTATTAAAAAAAAACTGCTGTGAAGCATAGGAAGTTTCAAGCATAAAATCAAGCAGTAGATAAATGTTCTTTGAACTTACGAATTTCAAATTATAAATTTCAACCATGCTATTAAAGATATTCAACACAGTGGATATTCCTTTTGCTTTCAAATTTATCTAAATATATGAGACAGGCAAAAGCTCAATGCAAAAGGCATGACTTTATAAAATGGATCCATTTTGCCAACAGCTCAAAGAATTATGGTAATATTGTGGGAACTGAGTGAAAATTCAGAGTAGGTTTTGAAATGTGATACAAGTAGAATTTTAAAAAGAAAAAAGAAAAAAATTTCTGTATTTAGCTAAAATCATAACTGTTTCCTTTGCAAACTGACATAAAAATGAAGAAGCAAAATGTGTCTTTAGTTATATCCAAGTTCCAAATTCAAGTTAATTACTGCTGCTCCTCACTCTTCTACCTTTTCCTTCAAATTTAAAGATGGGCTTTGCAGAGATTAAAGCTTCAGAAAAAAATATGGGAAAATATGTTAAAATGTTGACCTGAAAATGAAGTGGATGACTATAAAACTCTTGAGAGAATTAGACTTTTTGTAGCAGTTTATTACATGATAATACCTTAAAGGAGATCACATTCAGTGACCTGCGTTGACAGGTAATATTTAAAATTAAGTATTAATGCTGATTAATTCAGGCAGATGGGTGGTAGCCTAAAGTATAGACATTTTTCCAATATTAATTTTGATATTAAATAAATGACATCGGCTCTTGTTGGATATTGTAAAATTTCCTTTACTTCAACTGTAAAATAATTTCAACAGTGAAAGGTATAAAGTAAGATGAAAATTTCCATCATGATCTTACCTAGAGATAACTTCTCTTTTTTTGAGTCGAAGTATCGCTCTCGTTGCCTAGGCTGGAGTGCAGTGGCGTGATCTCGGCTCACTGCAACCTCCACCTCTCGGGTTCAAGCAATTCTCCTGCCTCAGCCTCCAGAGCAGCTGGAACTACAAGGCGCATGCCACCATGCCAGGCTAATTTTTGTAGTTTTGATGGAGACAGGGTTTCACCATGTTGACCAGGCTGGTCTCAAACTCCAGGCCTCAAGTGATCCACCCGCCTCAACCTCCAAAAGTGCTGGGATTACAGGCATGATCCCCCATGCCCAGCTGAATTGGAGGAAATTTTAAAAGTTAATTTTAAAACTGCTTCTCTTTTATGGGAAAGGAATATGTTTTTAAATGGTATTCAGTGTGCTCTTTTTTAAAAAAATCAAAAATTATCCATTAACATCCGTTACTTTTTTTGTTTTTGGTTTTTTTTGAGATTGAGTCTTGCTCTGTTGCCCAGGCTAGAGTGCAGTGGCATGATTTCAGCTCACTGCAACCTCCACCTCCCAGGTTCAAGCGATTCTCCTGCCTCAGCCTCCCAAGTAGCTGGGATTACAGGCGCCTGCCACCACACCCAGCTAATTTTTGTACTTTTAGTAGAGACAGGGTTTCACCATCTTGGCCAGGCTGGTCTCGAACTCCTGACCTCGTGATCCACCTGTCTCGGCCTCCCAAAGTGCTGGGATTCCAGGCGTGAGCCATCACGCCTGGCCTAATAGCCATTACTTTTTAATGCATGGTAATTTTTTGTTCAGTAGATAAATATATTGTTATCTTAAAAAGATTTTTTGTATTTACTTTTGAGACTGGGTCTCAGTCTGTTGCCCAGGCTGGAGTGTAGCAGCCTGATCATGGCTCAGTGCAGCCTCTACCTCCCCGGGCTCAGGTGATCCTCCCCCTTCAGCCTCCTGAGTAGCTGGGACTACAGAGGTGTGGCACCATGCCCGGCTAATTTTTGTATTTTTTGTGGAGATGGGGTTTTGCCATGTTGCCCAGGCTAGTCTTGAACTCCTGGATGTGAGCCACTGCGTCTGGCCTATTATTTTAAATATAGTTCTCTTTACTGCCAGTAGCTTTCATATAACCCTAGCGACTAGATTTAGTCACCACTGCTTAATTCCAAAAAACAAAAGCTCCATCCTATATTTACTGTAAATCAGTCTCTTTGATTGTATTGCATGTTTTATTTCAAGAAAAAAGTTAACCTGAAGATTTAATTTTAAATAACTACACATGTTGTCACTAATAGAAATAACAAATAATTATATGAGAATAATGGTAATTCTCCTAAGTTTTGTGGTAAATTTTTTGGCAATTTTATTGAAGTATAATAAAATTCAACAATTCAATACGTCTTTATAAATGTTCATTGTGATATAGGACAGCTCTATCACAGTACTGGGGTAAATTTTAATTATATTTATTAATTACAGATGTGAATTTCTTCGGAGTAAGAAATCCTCAGAGGAAATTACCCAGTATATTCAAAGCTACAAGGGATTTGTTGACATAACGGTAATGTATAACAGCAATTTTTTTCTCAAGTTTTTGGATTACCTGTAAGTGTCTGACTCAGAAGGGCATAGGCATTCTTTTTATGTCATGGGTTTGATTTCTTTCTTCCTTTCTCCTTTCATTCCCCTGGCTCCCATCTTCAAAGTGAAAAATATCACATTCACTTGCTGACCTAGAGCCTTTTTCTTTTTCCAGGGCTGGCTTCTGACGGGCTCTGCTTGCCTTCCTGATAGTCTTCCCCTTTATGAATGAAGCCACTTGCCCCAGCTTCCCTCTGCTGCCCCTATCTGCAGGCTTGCTAAGATCTCCTGACCTAGGCGCTGTCACCCACAGTGGGCTGCAGAGCTGGCTCTTCCTAGCTGGCTAACTATCCTGAATCAGTAAAAATTTCCTAGTGGAGAGTGATGGGAAATCGAATCCAAACTGGCTTAAACAAAAATGAGAATTTATTGATTAACATGACTCAGGAGACCAGAACTCTATAGAGAACATGGCCTGACAGTGGGGGAAGAGAGGTGTTTCCTCAAAAAGAAACTGGGTGCAGCTTTCCCAGAAGAATCAGTTGCTCAATATATAATACCCTGATGAATTTAGTTACCATTCTATGTCTCTTACTTCCTCATTCGTCAAAGTACATCTGTGATATTTAAATGCAGGTCTGTTTTCAAGGTCAGTTTCCGGAAACAGTGACCCTGAGAAGGCTTCCTCCTGAGTATGCATAAACATTCACAGCTTGCATGCGTGTGTGTGTGTGTGTGTGTGTGTGTGTGTGTGTGTATGTTTGCTTGCACTGCATAAAAACAATTGCAACATCAACAGAAATAAAAATTAAAGGAATAATTCTCCTCCGACTCTGCCGTTCCATCCAGTGAAACTCTTCATTCTGGGGTAAAGTTCCTTCAGTTCTTGTTCATAGATAGGTATATACTTCATAAGTCAAACAATCAGGCTGGGCGCAGTAGCTCATGCCTGTAATCCCAGCCCTTTGGGAGGCCGAGCTGGGCAGATCACTTGAGATCAGGTGTTCGAGACCAGCCTCAAGACCTCCAACATGGGCCGGGTGCAGTGGCTCACGTCTGTAATCCCAGCACTTTGGGAGGCCGAGACGGACGGATGATGAGGTCAGGAGATAGAGACCATCCTGGCTAACATGGTGAAACCCCATCTCTACTAAAAATACAAAAAAAAAAAAAATTAGCCCGGCATGGTGGCAGGCGCCTGTGGTCCCAGCTACTCGGGAGGCTGAGGCAGGAGAATGGCGTGAACCTGGGAGGCGGAGCTTGTAGTGAGCCAAGGTCGTGCCACTGTGCTCCAGCCTGGACGACAGAGCGAGACTCTGTCTCAAAAAAAAAAAAAAAAAAAAAAAAAGACCTCCAACATCGTGTCTGTCTCTACTAAAAATACAAAAAAAAAAAAAAAAATTAGCCGGGTGTGGTGGCACATGCCTGTACTGCTCGGGAGGCTGAGGCAGGAGAATCACTTGAACCCAGGAGGCGGAGGTTGCAGTGAGACGAGAACCTGCCACTGCACTTCAGCCTGGGCAACAGAGTGAGACTCTGCCTCAAAAAAAAAAAAAAAAAAAAAAGTCAGATAATCAACAACTTGAATTTTAATTTCCCTCAGGGAGAACATTTTGTGAATTCCTGGGTCCAGAGAGAATTACCTATGGCATCAGGTAAAAACTCAAACATTTTCCAAAGGCTTTGCTTGTTTATTTCTTCTTTTGATTTTTTGTCCCTATCTCTTTTTGTCGTCCCCCCCGCCCCGCCCCGTTTATTTTGAAGCAAACTCTAGACATCATTCCATCTGTAACTGTGAAGGGACAACTTGAACGCTGATACTTGCAATATCAAAGCCTACTGGTCTCTTTAATTTGTGCAGCAGCAATAAAGATATAGAAAAAAAAAAGACTAAAGCCTGCTGGTCTCACCTTGTGCTTTTTATTCAAGCTTATTGCAATGACAGCATCTTTGCTTACGAAGAACTACGGCTGGACTCTTTTAAGGACTGGCCCCGGGAATCAGCTGTGGGAGTTGCAGCACTGGCCAAAGCAGGTCTTTTCTACACAGGTGAGTCAGTAGGTTGTGCCCACTTGCTTGCTTGACCTTTAATTCCCACATAGACTTTATGCTCCTGGGCTTACGTTTAGCTACACTCAGCAATGTCCACTAGCTTCAGCGTTTCTTTTTCTTTTCTTTTTTTTTCCCCCTTGGAGACAGAGTTGCCCAGGCTGGAATGCAGATCTTGGCTCACTGCAACCTCCACCTCCCGGGTTCAAGAGATTCTCCTTCCTCAGCCTCTGGAGTAGCTGGAACCACAGGCGCCTGCCACCACGCCCAGCTACTTTTTTGTATTTTTAGTAGAGACAGGGTTTCACCATGCTAGTCAGAATGCTCTTGATCTCCTGATCTCGTGATCTGCCCGCCTTGGCCTCCCAAATGCTGGGATTACAGGTGTGAGCCATCGCGCCAGGCCTCTCTTCAGCATTTCTTATAGATTCGTTTTCTTTTCTTTCTATTTTTTTTGAGACATGGTCATCCAGGCTGGAGGGCAGTGGCGAGATCATGGCTCACTGCAGCCTCAACCTCCTGGGCTCAAGTAATCCTCCTGCCTTGGCCTCCCAAAATGCTGGGATTACAGGTGTGAGCCACTGCACCTGGCATACATCTCTTTTCTTTCCTGCATCATAAATCCTCTCCCAGTTTTCTATTCCTCCCTTAGGTGGTAAACCTTCAAATTTGAAACCTTAAGGTCTGGACTAACAATGAATACAAATATTCTATTTGTGATAATTATCATGTCTTTTCTTTCTACACATTACTCTCCTCACCTCTTGTCCCCTGACAAAGTGCTCCTAGAAACTGTCACAGGACACTTCTGCTTATATTTCTTTAATCAGAACTTAGTTGGATGGGCCGGGCATGGTGGCTCACGCCTGTAATCCCAGCACTTTGGGAGGCCGAGGTGGGTGGATCACCTGAGGTCAGGAGTTTGAGACCAGCCTGGCCAATATGGTGAAACTCTGTCTCTACTAAAAATACAAAGAATTAGCCAGGCATGGTGGCGGGTGCCTGTAATCCCAGCTACTTGGGAGGCTGAGGCAGGAGAATCGCTTGAACCTGGGACGTGGAGGTTGCGGGGAGTCAAGATCATGCTATTGCACTCCAGCCTGGGCAACAAGAGTGAAACTCTGTCTCAAAAATAATAATAATAATAATAATAATTATTATTATTATTATTAGTCAGATGACCATACCTAGCTGTAAGAGGAGCTGGGAAACCTAATCTTTTTCCTGGGTGACAATGTGCCCAGCTAAATATTGGGATTTCTATTAGTATGGAAGGATTTGAGATAATAGGAACATGGATAGCAATCTTTGCCACATTCTGCCTGCAGGAGAAAATCAGGAAATTAATTTTCATGATTCCTAAACACGTAGAGCCTTCCACCAGATTGTGGCATTTTCTCTTTAGCTGCTGGTCATTAGGAAGCACCTCTGCAATCTATAAATGATGGGCTGGTTCCTGTCAGCTAAATCTCTGCCTGAAATACAAGATGATCAGGGAAAGGTTCCTAGGTACCTTGCTGGTCTTGCTCAAACCGAACACATGCATAAGTTACAGTGGAGGTTAATGCAGATCTTTAACTGAGAGATCAAGTAGTTGTCACAAATACCATAGAGCAACACAGAGAAGCAGAATATAGTTGTCACTCTACCTAACAGACATGTGCCATTGGAAAAAAAAAATCTGACTGCCTCACAATCTTAAGCCTTTGGAAAGAGTGTTTGCCATTTCTCCCTACTCTACTGTGTCTTCCTCTTGTCAGCCTTCCGCAAGACCCCTCTGACCAGTGTGCTCCCCCTCTTCCTTTCCAATCCTCCACCACTCCACACAAATCCTAATCATCTCTGACTGTTTTCAGATCTTGCAAGCTCTAGGATCTCATATTTCTGGGAGGCTTTCCTCTGCCCCAGCTTTCCCAGAGTGGAAGGAAGATGAGAAATGCTCTGTTTCTAGTTTGATCCTTTTGCAGAGCTAAATACCAATTTCTTTCCAAAGAAATATAATTTCACAAAGAGACTTAATCCTATTTCTGGTGTAATAAACATGGCAATAATGTGGTAAGAGGCAATTAATTCTTCATGCATTCACTTACATAAGGGCTGCTAGATTTGCTGGTATTTTTTTTTCCGTGAGCTCTAAATATATTCTTTCTGATTCATTCATTAAACGAATACTAATTGAGTGCCACATGAGTGTCAAGCACTTTTCTAGGTTCATGTCATTCATTAGTGAGCAAAAACCTCTACCCTCATAGAGCTTATTTTTATTTTTATTTTTTGAGACAGAGTTTCACTCTTGTTGCCCAGGCTGGAGTGCAATGGCGTTATCTTGGTTCACTGCAACCTCCGTCTCCTGGGTTCAAGCGATTCTTGTGCCTCAGCCTCCTGAGTAGCTGGCATTACAGGCATGTGCCACCATGCCCAGCTAATTTTTGTATTTTTAGTAGAGACAGGGTTTCACCGTGTTGGCCAGGCTGGTCTCAGACTCCTGACCTCAGGAGATCCGCTGGCCTTGGCCTCCCAAAGTGCTGGGATTACAGGCATGAGCCACTGCGCCCAGCCCCCTCATGGAGCTTCAATTCCAGATTCTGGTTGCCAATCTGTTTGTTGATCAAAGGAGAATGGGGCAGAGGGATGGTGTGCATCAAAGTGCATGGTGTGTAGGAGCATTCAATGACTACTTGCCAGTTACCCCATTGGTGGACAGAGTCTTATATAGAAAATTGCCTCACTGGTAACCAACTTCTGACTGTCACAAAACCCAACTGGAGACTGAATAGGCTTTCACTATTACAGGTCTGGTGGTTATTATCTGCATGTTAATGGACAGATGCCCATGCCAGTGGCACTGATCAAGTTTCCTTACTTTTAGGTATAAAGGACATCGTCCAGTGCTTTTCCTGTGGAGGGTGTTTAGAGAAATGGCAGGAAGGTGATGACCCATTAGACGATCACACCAGATGTTTTCCCAAGTGAGTGGAATGAATGTTAACCATCTGCAACTTTGGATGCACTTCAACAGTTTTTTTCTTTTTCCTCATTTCCTGCCTTATTTTATCTTTAGATTGAGTCTTTATCCACTCCTCGGATTCAGGCTATGAAGGATGAGTCTTCATGTCTTTCATCCCTTTGCTCCATGACCCCCTTCCTGTACTAGCCTTCCCCTCTTTATAGTTATGGCATAGTTTTGGCTAGATTCATATATTCACATTACATGTTTACATTATCATGACTATACAAATGCTATGTGGAGCTGAAGCTTGTGGTAAATTTTTATTTATTTTTCCCTTCCTGTATATCCTTTTATTTTTTTAGGAAGTAATAACTGTCCTGTTGGTATGTTAGCTTATTTTTTTTTCCTGAGGTAAAATTCAGGTAGTAACCATTTTATTTATTTATTTATTATTTTTTGTGACAGGTTCTCTCTCTTGCCCAGGTTGGAGTGCAGTGGTGCAATCATGGCTCACTGCAGCCTTGACCTCTCTGGCTCAAGCAATCTTCCTCGCTCAGCCTCCCAAGTAGCTGGGACTACAGGCACATGTCTTCACACCCAGCTAATTTTTTTTTTTTTTTTTTAAGAGACAGGGTCTCTCTATGTTGCCCAGGCTGCTCTCAGACTTCTAGGCTCAAGCAGTCTTCCCATCCTGGCTTCCCAAAGTGCTGGGATTATAGGCGTGAGCCACCATGCACAGCAATTAAACCATTTTAGAGTACACAATTCTGTGGCATTTATTATAGTACATTCACAATGTTGTGCAACCACCCCCTCTATCTAGTTCCAAAACACTTTCATCGCCCCCAAAGAAAACTCTGTATCCATCAAGCAGGCCCCCCTCCTCTCTCCACCCCACTCCATGCCCAGCCCCTGGGATACACCAACCTAATTGGTGTCTATGGATTTATTTGTTCTGACTATTTCCTCTAAATGGAAGCATACCGTTTGACCTTTTGCATTTGGATTCTTTCACTTGGCATATTGTTTTGAAGTTTATCCATGTTGTAGCTTGCATAAGTACTTCCTTCCTTTTGAGACCAAGTAATATTCCATATGGATACACTGCATTTTATTTATCCATTCATCTATTTGTAGATATTTGGGTTGTTTCTACCTTTTGGCTACCATGAGTAATACCGATAGGAACATTTGGGTACAGGTATCTGATGGAGCATGTAACTGTATTCAAGTCTCTGGGGCATATACCTAACAACGATATTGCTAGCTGTATAGTAATTCTATGTTTTTACTTTTTTTTTTTTTTTCTCACACAGAGTCTCACTCTGTCGCTCAGGCTGGAGTGCAGCGGTGCGATCTCAGCTCACTGCAACCTCCGCCTCCCAGGTTCAAGCAATTTTCCTGCCTCAGTCTCCTGAGTAGCTGGGATTACAGGTGTCTGCCACCATGCCCGGCTAATTTTTTGTATTTTTAGGGTTTCACCATGTTGGCTAGGCTGGTCTCAAACTCCTGACCTCAAGTGATCCACCTGGCTTGGCCTCCCAAAGTGCTGGAATTACAAGCGTGAGCCACAGCGCCTGGCCTGTTTTAACTTTTTGAGGAAATGCTAAACTGTTTTTTCCACAGTGCTTGCACCATTTTAAATTCCCACCAACAACAATGTTGTGCAACCACCCCCTCTATCTAGTTCCAAAACACTTTCATCGCCCCCAAAGAAAACTCTGTATCCACTAAGCAGGCCCTCCTTCTCTCTCCACCCCACTCCATGCCCAGCCCCTGGGATACACCAACCTAATTGGTGTCTATGGATTTATTTGTTCTGACTATTTCCTCTAAATGGAAGCATACAGTTTGACCAACAATGTATGAGGTTTCCCATTTCTCATCAACACTTTTCTATTTTTAAAAAAATTATAGCCATCTGCTTAATTTTTTTTTTTTTTTTTTTTTTTTTTTTTGAGATGGAGTCTCACTTTGTCGCCCAGGCTGGAGTGCAATGGCGTGATCTCACTCACTGCAACCTCCGCCTCCTGGGTTCATGCCATTCTCCTGCCTCAGCCTCCCGAGTAGCTGGGACTACAGGCACCTGCCATCACGCCCGGCTAATTTATTTTTTATTTATTTTTTTAGTAGAGACGGGGTTTCACCGTGTTAGCCAGGATGGTCTCCATCTCCTGACCTTGTGATCCACCCGCCTCAGCCTCCCAAAGTGCTCTGATTACAGGCGTGAGCCACCGCGCCCGGCCAGCCATCTGCTTAATTTTTATGTACATTGCTTATTTTTGTTTCTTGAGATAAAATTCATGTATTAATAATTTTATTTATTTAAATGAAATAAATGAAGACGAACACCAGCTCATCTTCAACTTATCCCAAATGTTTAAATCTCCTCTTAAGTCATTCAGACCTACCAGATATCTCATCATTTTCATTTCTTGAAAGAGTCATCATTTTTTTTTTCTTTTTCTTTTTTTTTTTGAGACGGAGTCTGGCTCTGTCACCCAGGCTGGAGTGCAGTGGCATGATCTCGGCTCACTGCAGACTCTGCCTCCCAGGTTCAAGCAATTCTTCCTGCCTCAGCATCCCAAGTAGCTGGGACTACAGGCATGCACCACTATGCCTGGCTAATTTTTGTATTTTTAATAGAGATGGAGTTTTGCCACGTTGGCCAGGCTAGTTTCAAACTCCTGACCTCAAGTGATCCGCCTGCCTCAGCCTCCCAAAGTGCTGGTATTACAGGCGTGAGCCACTGCGGCTGGTCCATTTTCATCTTGAAATGAGTTTCCCTGGAAGTCTTCTGGCCTGCTGGATTATGAACAACTTGTCCTATAATCATCCTGGGATCCAGGGATCTTTCTTCACAGGCATCCTGGAGATTATCTCCTCTGTTGTATCTCCTGGATCTAATGTCATCCTCTTCTTGGTTCACTCGCTCATTTTGTTGGAACACTTCATCGGAGTTCCCTGGGAAAGACTGCATAAGAAATACACACTTTTAGTTGCATATAATGCATATACAGACATATAGATCTATCTAGATATATGTTTTTCCTGTATTCTCACACTTATTTGATAGTTTAGCTAGGTGTAGAATTATAGGTTGGAAGTCATTTTAATTCTAAATTGTAGAGGCACTGCTACATTTCTACTGGTTCCTAATGTGCTGTCGAGAAGTTCCATGCCTTTCTGCTTGTCAATCCTTTTACTGCAAACAAAATTTTTTTTTTTCCTGTGCTGGAAGCTTTCAGAAAAATATCTGTTCTAAAATTTTATGAAGAAATATTTCTTTTCTATGAATCTTTAAACTTAATTTTTTTTTACCCATCAAACTCTTTAGAAATGTTTAATTGCAAGAAGAAATTTGTGTTTTCACTATGTAATTAGTAAGAGTTTTTTTTTTAGAAATGAATATGAACACATACAGATTTTAAAATGAATGCTTCCTGCTCATTTGTATAGTGGTAAAAACAAAAATAAAACAAAATGAATACTTCTATCTAATTTTATTGCCTTGAAGGTATTTTGATAGCAGTAGTTACCTCATTTTTCTTTCTTATTTGGGCTTAGTGTATAATAAATTATTGAGAACAATGGGGACATTCTACTTAATTCTTGGAAGGATAAGCTAGGATGCAGTCTAGTCTTATTTAGAACTTACTCTGGAATCGATCAACTCCCTTTTATACTATTATTATTATTATTAGTTTTAGTGTTTTGTTGTTGTTGTTTTTGAGATGGAGTCTCACTCTGTCACCCAGGCTGGAGTGCAGTGGCGTGATCTCGGCTCACTGCAACCTCCGCCTCCCGGGTTCAAGCGATTCTCCTGCCTCAGCCTCCCAAGTAGCTGGGATTACAGGTACCTCCCCACCATGCCTGGCTAATTTTTTGTACTTTTAGTAGAGACGGGGTTTCACCATGTTGGCCAGGCTGGTCTTGAACTCCTGACCTCAAGTGATCCTCCTGCCTCAGCCTCCCAAAGTGCTGGGATTACAGGTGTGAGCCGCCACACCTGGCCTTTAGTGTTTTTTTGTTAAGAGACTGGGTCTCGGCTCTGTCACCCAGGCTGGAGCAAGTGCAGTGGTACAATCCTAGCTGACTGTAGCCTCAAATTCCTGGGCTCAAGTGATCCTCCCACCTCAGCCTCCCAAGTAGCTAGGACTACAAGCATGTGTCACCATGCCCGACTAATTTTTTAAAGTTTTTTTTTGTAGAGATGGGGTCTTGCTTTGTTGCCCAGGCTGGTCTCAAACTCCTGGCTCCAAATGATCCTTCTGCTTCAGCCTCCCAAAGTACTTGGATTACAGGCATGAGCCACTGCTCCCAGCCAACTCCTTTTTGGATTTTTACTCTTCCTTTGCCTCTTAAAAAAACTGCAAACCAGTATGTCTCCAAATGATTACCTAAAATTTTTATGTATGCTTTAAAGAATGAATAAAAAGCAACCTATGAACCTCCTAGTAAAGTCAAGAAATTGGACATTATCAATGCCTTAAAAGACCCCTGCGGCCGGGTGCAGTGACTCACGCCTGTAATCTCAGCACTTTGGGAGGCCGATGTGGGCAGATTGTCTGAGCTCAAGAGTTCGAGACCAGCCTGGGCAACATGGTGAAACCCCATCTCTGTTAAAAAACAGAAAAATTTAACCGGGCCTGGTGACACACGCCTGTAGTCCCAGCTATTAGGGAGGCTGAGGCAGGAGAATGGCTTGAACCTGGGAGGCGGAAGTTGCAGTGAGCCAAGATGGCGCCATTGCACTCCTGGGCGACAGAGCGTGACTCTGTCTCAAAAAAAAAAAATCAAAAAACAAAAAACAACTCTGCATGCCAACCACCCCCTAATTCTGATTATATCCCTGTCCCTCCAATCCAGAGGTAAATGTGATGCTCAGTTTGGGTTAATTATTCCCTTGCTTCTCTTTGTGGTTTTACCAACTACATATACATCCTTAAACATATTTAGCTTTGTCTATTCTTGAAGTTCAAATAAGAAGCATACTGCATGATTCTTCTTGTAATTGGCTGGTTTTACTCCACGATGTTTTTGAGATTCATCCATATTTATATGTACTACACAGTTGTAGTTCACTTGTTTTCATTGGTAAATAGTGTATTATTTTATGAATATATAATAACTTATTTTACTGTTGATTAACCTCGTGGGTCGTTTTCAGAGTGTTGCAAATTCAAATAATGCCCTATGAACATTCTTGTACATATTTTCCAGTGCTCATGTGTGTTTCTCTAGGATACATAACAAAGTAAAGAATTGCAGAGTCATAGAACTTTGCGGGTGTTCAACTCCACTAGATAATGCAAAGCTTTTTCCCAAGTGGTTGCACTGATTTACATTCCCATTGGCCTAGATGCGTTTCTATTGATTTGCTTCCTCACTAACTTGGTATTGCCCAAATTTTAATTTTTGTCAGTGTAATTACTAATAATGTTAAGCTTATTTTCTTCTTCTTTTTTTCTTTCTTTTTTTTTTTTTGAGACGGGAGTTTCACTCTTGTTGCCCAGGCTGGAGTGCAATGGCACGATCTCGGCTCACCACAACCTCCGCCTCCCAGGTTCAAGTGATTCTCCTGCCTCAGCCTCCCGAGTAGCTGGGATTACAGGCATGTGCCACCACGCCCAGCTAATTTTGTATTTTTAGTAGAGATGGGGTTTCTCCATGTTGGTCAGGCTGGTCTCGGACTCCCAACCTCAGGTGATCCACCCACCTCAGCCTCCCAAAGTGCTGGGATTACAGGTGTGAGCCACCGCGCCTGGCAGTTGAGCTTATTTTCATATTTTCCTGCAGAATAGTCTTGTTCTTTCTCTTCAAGAGTGTGTCTTAGCTATTTTTTTGCCCTTTGGTCTTTCATATTCCAGAGAATATATTAAATATCCCAAGCAGGCATGGTGGTTCACACCTATAATCCCAGCACTTTGGGAGGCTGAGGTGGGAGGAGTGCACAAGGCGAGGAGTTTGAGACTAGCCTTTGCAACATAGCTAGACTCCATTTCTACAAAAAATTTTTAAAACAAACAGGGTGTGGTAGCATGCATCTGTAGTCCCAGCTACCTGGGAGGCAGAGGCAGGAGAATCGCTTGAGCTCAGGAGTATAGGTTGCAATGAGCTATGATTGTGCCACTGTACTGTGGCCTGGGTGACAGAGTAAAACTTTGTCTCTAAAAAACAGAAATATCCCTCTTTATCCTTGATAGTATTTTTTAGGCCTTTATTAGTTTTTTCATGTTACATCTTTTAGATTATTTTCTTTTTAATCTATCTGTGACTATATTTAAAGTCAATTCTTGTTTTTTCCTTTTCCTTTTTGTGGGTAACGGGGTCTCACTATGTTGCCCAGGCAGATCTCAAACTCCTGGGCTCAAGCTGTCCTCCCACCTCTGCCACCCTAAGTGTTGAGATTACAGGCATGAGCCACTGCACCCAGCCTTAAAGTGAATTGTTATAGGCAACAACACAGTGGGGTCTTTTATTTTATTTTTTATTTGTTTATGAGACAGACTCGCTCTGTTGCCTACGCTGGAGTGCAGTGGTGCAGTCTTGACTCACTGCAGCCTGGACTTCCCAGGCTCAAGCAATCCTCCCACCTCAGACTCCTGAGTAGCTGGGACTACAGGCACATGCCACCAAGCCTGGCTAAGTTTGTTAGTTTTTTATAGAGACAAGGTCTCACTATGTTGCCCAGTCTGATCTCGAACACCTAGCCACAAGCAATTCTCCTGCCTTGTCTTCCCAGAGTGCTGGGATTACAGGTGTGGACCACTGAACCCAGCAGGTCTTGCTTTTTTTTTGAGATGGAGGTGTGAGCCACCACATCCAGCCAGGTTTTCTCTTTTTTTTTTTTTTTGAGACGGAGTCTTGCTCTGTCGCCCAGGCTGGAGTGCAGTGGCACGATCTTGGCTCACTGCAAGCTCCGCCTCCTGGGTTCACACCATTCTCCTGCCTCAGCCTCGCGAGTAGCTGGGACTACAGGCACCCCGCCACCACACCTGGCTAATTTTTTGTATTTTTAGTAGAGACGGGGTTTCACCGTGTTAGCCAGGATGGTCTCGATCTCCTGACCTCATGATCCACCTGCCTTGGCCTCCCAAAGTGCTGGGATTACAGGCGTAAGCCACCACGCCTGGCCAGGTCTTGCTTTTTAAGAGTCTGACAATAACTGCTTTCTAATTGGAATGTTTAGAACGTTTAAATTTAATGCAATTATGAATATGGTTGGATTTAAACCTATTTTACCATTTGCTTTCTATTTATTTCATCACTTCTTTGTTTCTTTTTCTTTTCCTGACTTCCTAGGGTTTAGGGTTTTTTTTTTTTTCTTTTTTCTACCCCCTCCTTGAGTATTTTTTTTTGTACTCCATTTTATTTCTGTCAGCTTATTAGCTATTAATCCTTATTTTACCTTTTTACTACTTGCTCTAGAGTTTACCATATGCCTATTTAACATATCATAGTAATCTTCAAAAATATTATAACAGCTGGGTGCAGTGGCTCATGCCTGTAATCCCGGTAATTTGGGAGGCTGAGGCAGGCAGATCACTTGAGGTCAAGAGTTCCAGAGCAACCTGGGCAACATGGTGAAACCCCGTCTCTACTAAAAATACAAAAAAATTAGCTGGGTGTGGTGGCGCACACCTGTAATCCCAGCTGCTTGGGAGGCTGAGGCACGAGAATTGCTTGAACCCAGGAAGCAGACGCTGCAGAAAGCTGAGATCGTGCCACTGCACTCCAGCCTGGGTGACACAGTGAGACTCTGGGTCAAAAAAATATATAACACTTGACATAAAATGTATGAACCATACAATAGTATATTTCCATTTCTCCCCTCTCATCCTTTGTGCTATTGTCATACATTTTATTTCCATGTACTTTAATAAATCTTACAATATAATGTTATATCTTTGCTTTAAACAATTTAAGTACATTTTTACAACGGCAAAAGTCTTTCATATTTGCCCTCTTAGTTATCTTATCATTCCTGGTACTTTTCATTCCTTTGAGTAGAACCAAATTTCCATCTGCTATCATTTTCCTTTTAAATGATGTGCTTCCTTTCACTTTTTTTTTTTTTTTTTTTTTTTGAGATGGAGTCTTGCTCTGTCTCCTAGGCTGGAGTTCAGCGCCACGATCTCGGCTGACTGCAACCTCTGCCTCCCGGGTTCAAGTGATTCTCCTGCCTCAACCTCCTGAGTAGCTAGGATTACAGGTGCCCACCACCATGCCAGGCTAATTTTTGTATTTTTAGTAGAGATAGAGTTTCACCATGTTGGCCAGGCTGGTCTTGAACTCCTGACCTCATGATCTGCCTGCCTCAGCCTCCCAAAGTGCTGGGATTACAGGGGTGAACCACTGTGCCTGGTCCCTTTCACATTTTTTGTAGTGCAGTTATGCTGGCAACTGACTTTATTTGGCATTTGTTTGTATGAATAAGTTTATATTTTACCTTCCTTCATAGTTCTTTTCCTTGATGGGCCTATTAAAATATTTTTTTTCTTTTGTAAGCCACTTCACCCCTTCCCTATGGGTTTGTTTTTATTTACCTCTACATGGCTGACTTTGGACAGAAACGTTAAAAGTTCTACTTGTTGTTTTCCTGAAGCTATGCTTCTATTTCTGGACTCATCGCCAAGTCACCTGAAGGCAATACAAATGAAGTATCTGGGCCACATGCAGTGGCTCACGCCTGTAATCCCAGCACTTTGGGAAACTGAGGTGGGAGGATACCTTGAGCCCAGAAAAAAAAAAAATTAGCCTGGCATGGTGGCACGTGCCTGTAGTCCCAGTTACTTGGGAGGCTGAGGTGGGAGGATCACTTGAGCCTGGGAGTTGGAGGCTACATTGATCCTTGGTCGTGTCACTACCCTCAAGCCTGGACAAAAGAGTGAGACCTTGTCTCAAAAAAAAAAAAAAAAAAAAAGTGTCCCTTTGCTTTACTCCTGCTCTCCAGTGATTCTACAGCATGGAATAGGCCACTGACTTACTCACATGTATAGTTCTCATCTGTCCATTTTAATAATTGCAACTAGAGCTCTTTTTGAACTTTCTCTCTTGTTCTTCAAGCATACATCAAACCTGAGTTTAGAGGGTATTTGCGTCCTAGTTTCACGAGATTGGCAAGTAGTTTTTAGAGAGTATGTTTGTGGCCATTCTTTTCTTTTGATACTGACGGAGGGTTTCTTTTTTAATTTTTTGTTTGTTTAAGACAGGGTCTTACTCTGTCACCCAGGCTGGAGTGCAGTGATGCAATCACGGCTCACTGTAGCCCCAACCTCCTGGCCTCAAGTGATCTTCTTGCCTCAGCACCCCCAAGTAGCTGGGACTATACATGCATGCCACCCTGCTAGCTAATTTTTAGAGGAGGTCTCTCTATGTTGCACAGGTTGGTCTGGTCTTGAACTTCTGACCTCAAGTGAAACTCCTACTTTGGCTTCCCAAAGTGCTGGGATTACAGGCATGAGCCATTGCACCTGGCAATGGAGTGGTTTGTGGTTGGTTAGTTTTTTGTTTGTTTGTTTGTTTGTTTTTGAGACAGAGTTTCACTCCTGTTGCCCAGGCTAGAGTGCAATGGTGCGATCTCGGCTTACTTCAACTTCTGCCTCTTGGGTTCAAGCAATTCTCCTGCCTCAGCCTCCCAGGTCGCTGGGATTACAGGCGTCCGCCACAACGCCCGGCTAATTTTTGTATTTTTAGTAGAGGTGAGGTTTCACCATGTTGGTCAGGTTGGTCTCAAACTCCTGACCTCAAGTGATCCACCCGCCTCAGCCTCCCGAACTGCTGGGATTACAGGCGTGAGCCACCATGCCTGGCCTTGTTTGTTTTTTGTTTTGTTTTGAGACAGAGTCTCACTCCATTGCCCAGACTAGAGTGCAGTGGCACAATCTCAGCTCACTGCAACCTCCGCCTCCCAGGTTCAAGCGATTCTTGTGCCCCAGCCTCCTAAGTAGCTAGGACTACAGGTGTGCGCCACCACTGCCTGGTTAATTTTGGAATTTTCTTTTTAATAGAGACAGGGTTTTGCCATGTTGGCCAGGCTGGTCTCAAACTTCTGGCCTCAAGTGATCTGCCCGCCTCGGCCTCCCAAAGTGCTGGGATTTTGGGTGTGAACCACCGCACTCACAGAGTTTTTTTCTTTTTTTAATAAATTTTTATTTGAAATTATTTAGATTTGCAGAAAGTGCAAAGTAATACAAAGAGTTCCTATATATTGCCATACCCAATTTACCCTAATGCTAACATCTTACACTAGCATATTTGTCAAAATCATCAGTGTACCAATTCATATACTGTACATTACTATTTACTAAAATCCAGAGTTTATTTGGATTTCACCAGTTTTTCCACTATGTTGTTTTTTGTTCCAGAATTCATAAATAGAGGGTTTTTTTTTTCCTATTTTTGATTCTTTAAGTTCATTTTTGTTGGTTGCATGGAGGAGTGTCATATACGCACTCATTCCACCAAATTCCCTTGATATCCTTTACCGTTACTTTATAAACCATTTACATTTCTCTTGCAGAGAGCCACAACCTAAGTGCCTTACCTGATGACACTGACAGAGAGAATCACTGGAAATGATAGTTTTATACTTAATTCTTGTCACTAAAACTCTAATAGTGTTTTTAAAAACCTAATACAAGGCCAGGCCTGGCGGCTCACACCTATCATCCCAGCACTTTGGGATGCCTAGGGAGGAGAATTGCTCAAGGCCAGAAGTTTGAAACCAGAACAGCCTGGGCAACATAGTGAGACCCTGTCTCTGAAAAAACAAAACAAACAACAACAGCAACAACAACAACAAAAATACCTAACACAAATACTTAAATGCATACAACTATTTTTATAACTTTTAACTTTTACACTTAGTTGTCCATTTCTCCAAAATATGAAGTCCTCTGCGGAAGTGACTCCAGACCTTCAGAGCCGTGGTGAACTTTGTGAATTACTGGTAATGAACACCGTCATCTTGTCTGTTTTACCAGCACATGATCATATAATTGAAAACTGTTTTGAACAGGAATGTCTCATCATAAATAAGTTAATAAATTCTACAAACATCTACTAAACATCTGTTATGTTCTAGGTACAGATTGGGGAAATCACAATAAACCAGTCGGGCACAATACCTAGCTTCATGAAATGTATAGTCAATCTCTTCTACTTCAAGGCCCAGACTCTCTTAGACTTTGTTGATTAGCATCCAGGCTAAATGGATCCTCTCTGGATCTTCATGTGGAGGGCAATAAGGCTGGATTTGCTACTTGGCCTTTTTAGGGGTTGAGAAGATGTTACTTTAACAAAAGCAAGTGCCCAACAAAATCATAAACCCAGGTAATAGGCTGACCACTTTAAGCTGAGAAATCCTACCTAGTTCTCTGGGATATAAGCCACTACTAATTTAATGCACACATATACCACCTTATTTTGAGGCTGTGTGTTAGGTATGTTATGTTTGTCATCCCCCCACCCCCAACACACACAAAAACCAACTTGCTATTCACGTGATTCATTTTCTATATGAATTGAAAAATGGCACTAAAGAAAAAAGTTTGGGGATATAGAAATAGCTTATTTTTTAAGGAAGAAACATAACCTTTCTAAGTACTGGATGTGTAATATTAAAAATGTAGTTAACCAAGGACAGAGGCTGCACCTAATGACTTTTGGAGGAACCTTCTTGCTCAAGACACTATGATTCTCGTTACCTGGATAGTATCACCCATGGATTGTATCATATATGAACCACTGAGGAACACACATTCCTGCAGATGTTTGCAGATTATTAATTGCTTTATATTTGGAGCACCCCTCCCTTCAATCAGCATAAATATTTGAGGGTGGGCTGTGTTTAGAAGATGTTTAGTCTCCAATGATTACAACATGATGCACCACTCTCCTATACAAATTTTGATTTAAGAAAAGATTTTATTTTTCAAAGGAAACCACAAGTGAAAGCAATCTTGAAGATTCAATAGCAGTTGGTCCTATAGTGCCAGGTAAGAACTTTGAAGTAGCACGTGGGATTATATGTATTTGTAAATATATTTGTATACAGGGCAGTTGCAAAAAAAAGAGTATTTATAATTGTCCAAAGAGCTTCCAAAGAGGAGCAGCATTGCAACAGTGTCGTGTATGAGCAAAAGTCAAGATTCTTGTGGCTTCTCCAGAGTGCAGGCAGGACCAAACTGATAGTAGGCAACGTGTCTCAGGTACAAGCAAACCAGTCCTTAGAAGCACCAATCAGTAAACTTCTTTCCTGAGATTTTTATTTTTATTCATTTTATTTTATTTTATTTTATTTGAGACAGGGTCTTACTTTGTCACCCAGGCTGGAATGCAATGGCAAGATCATGGCTCACCGCAGCGTCGACCTCCCAGGCTCAAGTGATCCTCCCATCTCAGCCTCCCCAGTAGCTGGGACCACAAGCATGTGCCACCACACCTGGCTAATTTTTGTATTTTTTGTAGAGACAGGGTTTTGCCATGTTGGCCAGGCTGGTCTTGAACTCCTAGGCTCAAGCAATTCGCCTGCCTCGGTCTCCCACAGTGCTGGGATTACAGGCATGAGTCACTTTGCCTGGCCTCTTTCCTGAGATGCATGGTGCTTATGATAAGCACACATTATGTCTAGGTCCCTGCTTCAAGTGTGGCACTTTGGACACATGCTTCCCACATTCCGATTTTGTGCCAAAACCTATGAGATGATCGCAATGTGGGAATCATGGATGGCTGTGGAAAATCCTAACACATTCGTAGTAGACAGGCAGAATCATGGAATGAAAAGGCATGGCGTTCAGACTGAGGGAGATGTGACTATGAATCCCTGTTGTGCCCCCCTTTCTTTCTCTCCACAGAAATGGCACAGGGTGAAGCCCAGTGGTTTCAAGAGGCAAAGAATCTGAATGAGCAGCTGAGAGCAGCTTATACCAGCGCCAGTTTCCGCCACGTCTTTGCTTGATATCTCTTCCGATCTGGCCACGGACCACTTGCTGGGCTGTGATCTGTCTATTGCTTCAAAACACATCAGCAAACCTGTGCAAGAACCTCTGGTGCTGCCTGAGGTCTTTGGCAACTTGAACTCTGTCATGTGTGTGGAGGGTGAAGCTGGAAGTGGAAAGACGGTCCTCCTGAAGAAAATAGCTTTTCTGTGGGCATCTGGATGCTGTCCCCTGTTAAACAGGTTCCAGCTGGTTTTCTACCTCTCCCTTAGTTCCACCAGACCAGACGAGGGGCTGGCCAGTATCATCTGTGACCAGCTCCTAGAGAAAGAAGGATCTGTTACTGAAATGTGCATGAGGAACATTATCCAGCAGTTAAAGAATCAGGTCTTATTCCTTTTAGATGACTACAAAGAAATATGTTCAATCCCTCAAGTCATAGGAAAACTGATTCAAAAAAACCACTTATCCCGGACCTGCCTATTGATTGCTGTCCGTACAAACAGGGCCAGGGACATCCGCCGATACCTAGAGACCATTCTAGAGATCAAAGCATTTCCCTTTTATAATACTGTCTGTATATTACGGAAGCTCTTTTCACATAATATGACTCGTCTGCGAAAGTTTATGGTTTACTTTGGAAAGAACCAAAGTTTGCAGAAGATACAGAAAACTCCTCTCTTTGTGGCGGCGATCTGTGCTCATTGGTTTCAGTATCCTTTTGACCCATCCTTTGATGATGTGGCTGTTTTCAAGTCCTATATGGAACGCCTTTCCTTAAGGAACAAAGCGACAGCTGAAATTCTCAAAGCAACTGTGTCCTCCTGTGGTGAGCTGGCCTTGAAAGGGTTTTTTTCATGTTGCTTTGAGTTTAATGATGATGATCTCGCAGAAGCAGGGGTTGATGAAGATGAAGATCTAACCATGTGCTTGATGAGCAAATTTACAGCCCAGAGACTAAGACCATTCTACCGGTTTTTAAGTCCTGCCTTCCAAGAATTTCTTGCGGGGATGAGGCTGATTGAACTCCTGGATTCAGATAGGCAGGAACATCAAGATTTGGGACTGTATCATTTGAAACAAATCAACTCACCCATGATGACTGTAAGCGCCTACAACAATTTTTTGAACTATGTCTCCAGCCTCCCTTCAACAAAAGCAGGGCCCAAAATTGTGTCTCATTTGCTCCATTTAGTGGATAACAAAGAGTCATTGGAGAATATATCTGAAAATGATGACTACTTAAAGCACCAGCCAGAAATTTCACTGCAGATGCAGTTACTTAGGGGATTGTGGCAAATTTGTCCACAAGCTTACTTTTCAATGGTTTCAGAACATTTACTGGTTCTTGCCCTGAAAACTGCTTATCAAAGCAACACTGTTGCTGCGTGTTCTCCATTTGTTTTGCAATTCCTTCAAGGGAGAACACTGACTTTGGGTGCGCTTAACTTACAGTACTTTTTCGACCACCCAGAAAGCTTGTCATTGTTGAGGAGCATCCACTTCTCAATACGAGGAAATAAGACATCACCCAGAGCACATTTTTCAGTTCTGGAAACATGTTTTGACAAATCACAGGTGCCAACTATAGATCAGGACTATGCTTCTGCCTTTGAACCTATGAATGAATGGGAGCGAAATTTAGCTGAAAAAGAGGATAATGTAAAGAGCTATATGGATATGCAGCGCAGGGCATCACCAGACCTTAGTACTGGCTATTGGAAACTTTCTCCAAAGCAGTACAAGATTCCCTGTCTAGAAGTCGATGTGAATGATATTGATGTTGTAGGCCAGGATATGCTTGAGATTCTAATGACAGTTTTCTCAGCTTCACAGCGCATCGAACTCCATTTAAACCACAGCAGAGGCTTTATAGAAAGCATCCGCCCAGCTCTTGAGCTGTCTAAGGCCTCTGTCACCAAGTGCTCCATAAGCAAGTTGGAACTCAGCGCAGCCGAACAGGAACTGCTTCTCACCCTGCCTTCCCTGGAATCTCTTGAAGTCTCAGGGACAATCCAGTCACAAGGTATACCTGTATATATTTTGGATGACTATTCTGATGTATAATTTCTTTTTCTTACTTTAAGTGGTTGAAAACTTCTGAGGCCATGAAAGCATGCATGCTCATTGATAGAACAGATATAAAATAAACCTTCACTAATTTTTTTTGACAGTAGCATGAATTAGTGAAAAGTCCTTGAATAATAGAATGGTTTTCAAATAACTCAGACAAAATGAATAAAATATTTATATTAAATTATTGAAGGTTCTTAATAAAGACATGAATTATCTGTTATTAGTAAAAGAATTAGCTATATGTAAGATGATGCTTAGAAATTACCTTCACCCTAGCTGCCTAAAGGAAGAAAGGCCTGTAGTCCCTGGGAAATAAATAAATTAATGGGAAATAATATCTTCATCTATTTGTGTCTTAACTCCTCTAAGCACTATTTGATAGTTTTCAGTGTAGACTTAACCCATCTTTCATTAAATTTATTCCTAGATACTCATATCTTTTGAAAGTATTGTAAATGTCATTAAAAATATTTTTTCATTTTCTAATTGTTGCTAGTATTGCTTTGGTCTTAAGCAGTTTGACTGTTATATGCCTAGGTGTGCTTTGCTTTGTATGTATCTTGCTTGAGGTGCACTGAACTTTTTTGGAATGTGTGGGTTGACATTTACCAAATTTAGAAAATTTTTCATCTTTTTTCAAGTACTGTTTTATTATGGTAAAATACATGTAACAAAGCTTACATTTTAATCATTTTAAATGTACAACTCAGTGGCATTAAGCATTCACTATGTTGTACAACCATCACCGCTATCCATCTCCAGAACCTTTTCATCATCCCAATTAAACAATAAATTGGGCCGGGCGCGGGGGCTCACGCCTGTAATCCCAGCACTTTGGGAGGCCGAAGAGGGTGGATCGCCAGAGCTCAGGAGTTTGAGACCACCCTGGGCAACATGGTGAAACCACGTCTCTACTAAAATACAAAAAATTAGCTGGGCGTGGTGGCATGCGCCTGTAGTCCCAGCTATTCGGGAGGCTGAGGCATGAGAATCACTTAAGCCTGGGAGGCAGAGGTTGCAGTGAGCCCAGATCATGCCACTGCACTCCAGCTTGGGCTACCGAGTGAGACTCCGTCTCAAAAAAAAAAAAAAAAAAAAAAAAAAAAAAAAATCTTCCCTCCCACCAGCCCCTGATAACTTCTCTTCTATTTTCTGTCTCTATGAATTTGCCTCTTCTAGATATTGTTTATAAGCATTATCACTTGTCTGGCTTATTTCACTTTGCATACTGTTCAAGGTACATCATGTTGTAGCCTATATTGGAATTTCATTCCTTCACATGTACTCCATAAATATGTACAATTATTATGTATCAACTTTGAAAAGGAACTTCATCCTTTTTATAGCTAATATTCCATGGTATGTATATAGTACATTTTGTTTATCCATTCTGCTGCTGAGAGACACTTGGGTTGTTTCTACCTTCTGGCTATCATAAATAATGCTGCAATGAACACTGGCATTATAAGTATCGGTTTAAGTTCTTGCTTTTAATCATTTTGGGTATATACCTAGAAGCAGAATTGCTGATTCATATGGTAGTTCTATGTTTAACTTTTTGAGGAACTTGCACAGTAGCTGCACCATCTTACATTCCCACTATCCATGTACAAAGGTTCCAATTACTCCACATCCTCTTCAGCACTTGTTAATTTTTGTTTTTGTGGAGACAGAGTCTAATTCTGTCACCCAGGCTGGAGTGCAGTGGCGAGATCTTGGCTCACTGCAACCTCCACCTCTCGGGTTCAAGCAATTCTCCTGTCTCAGCCTCCTGAGTAGCTGGGACTACAGGTGTGCACCACCATACCTGGCTAACTTTTGTATTTTTAGTAGAGATGGGGTTTCGCCATGTTGCCCAAGCCGGTCTCGAACTCCTGAGCTCAGGCAGTCCAGCCACCTTGGCCTCCCGAAGTGCTAGGATTACAGGCATGAGCCACAGTGCCCGACCTGTTTTTGTTTTCATTGTTGTTTTTCAGACAGTGTCTCGCTCTATTGCCCAAGCTGGAGTGCTGTGGTGCAATCATGGCTCACTGCAGCCTCAACCTCTTGAGCTCAGGTGATCCTCCTGCCTCAGCCTCCTGAGTAGCTGAGACTACCAGCATGCACCACCGTGCCTGGATAATTTTTTATTTTTTGTAGAGACAGATTCTTGCTATGTTGCCTAGTCTGGTCTTTTTTCTTTTTCTTTCTTTTTTTTTTTTTGAGATGGAGCCTCGCTCTGTCCCCCAGGCTGGAGTGCAGTGGCGCAATCTCGGCTCACTGCAAGCTCTGCCTCCTGGGTTCACGCCATTCTCTTGCCTCAGCCTCCCAAGTAGCTGGGATTACAAGCTCCCGCCACCACACCCAGCTAATTTTTGTATTTTTAGTAGAGATGGGGTTTCACCATGTTGGCCAGGCTGGTCTTGAACTCCTGACCTCAGGTGATCCACCCACCTCGGCCTCCCAAAGTGCTGGGATTACAGGCATGAGCCACCGTGCCTGGCCCCTAGTCTGGTCTTGAACTCCTGGGCTCAAATGATCCACCCACCTTGGCCTTCCAAAGTGCTGGGATTACAGGTATGAGCCACCTCACCCAGCCCATTTTGTTTTGTGATTATCATAAAGCCGTTCTAGTAGTTGTGAAGTGGTATCTCATTGTGGTTTTGATTTGCATTTCTCTAATGCAAATCATGAAAATGATGTTAAGTATCTTTTCACTTTTTGAAAAAATATCTGTTTGCTCATTTAAAAATTGTTGTTGTTTTTGTTGCATTGTAAGAGTTATTTGTATATTCTGGATTTCAACCTGTTATCAGATACACAGTTTGAAAATATTTTTCCCATTCCATAGGTTGTCATTTTACTTTATTTATAATGTCCTTTGTGCACGAAAGTTTTAAATTTTGACGAAGTCCAATTTATCTGTTTTTTTCTTTTATTGCTGGTCCTTTTGGTGTCCTATCTAAGAATCCATTGCCAAATCCAAGGTCATGAAGATTAACTCCTATGTTTTTTCTAAGAGTTGTGTGATTTCAGCTTTTATATTTAGGTCGTTGATCCATTTTGAGTTGATTTTTTTTACATGGTGAGGGATAGGAATCCAACTTCATTCTTTCGCATGTGCAAATCCAGTTGTCCCCAACCGTTTGTTGAAGAGATGCTATATTTCTTTTCTCTTCTTTTTTTTTTTTTTTTTTTTTTTTGAGACGGAGTCTCACACTGTAGCCTGGGCTGGAGTGCAATGGCGCGATCTTGGCTCACTGCAACCTCCGTCTCCCAGGTTTATGTGATTCTCCTGCCTCAGCCTCCTGAGTAGCTGGGATTACAGATGCACACCACCATACCCAGCTAATTTTTTTTTTGTATTTTTAGTAGAGACGGGGTTTCACTATGTTGGCCAGACTGGTCTCAAACTCCTGACCTCGTGATCCGCCCGCCTCAGCCTCCCAAAGTGCTGGGATTACAGGCATGAGCCACTGCGCCTAGCCGAGATGCTGTATTTCTTTTTGTGAGTCTGAAGAGTAGCACAGGGCTTCCCATACAGTGCATAAGCTGCAAAAAGCAATATCTTCATATATGTATTCTTTAAAAAAAAAAAAGAATGTTTTATGGTATGTGGAAGGTTTGCATGTGAAAATAGCTGGATGAATCAAAATGACAGTTTTAAAATGTCCATTCAGAACTCTTTAGATTAATAATGGGAAACTGTGCTGCTTTCCAGACCAAATCTTTCCTAATCTGGATAAGTTCCTGTGCCTGAAAGAACTGTCTGTGGATCTGGAGGGCAATATAAATGTTTTTTCAGTCATTCCTGAAGAATTTCCAAACTTCCACCATATGGAGAAATTATTGATCCAAATTTCAGCTGAGTATGATCCTTCCAAACTAGGTAAGGATGGCACTTTAATATACTTGTGTTTACGTAAGTTGGAAAAGCTACTTGGCCAATAATTTATTTAAGAGTTAAAGTGCCTGTGGTTCTAAGGGTGTAGCCTGTATCCATGGTAAATTGTGAGGAATAGCACTCTTTCTCATTAAGAAAGCAGAGTGCTGTTTGTAATTATTGAGCCTTTACTACACACTAGGAAGTATCCTAAGCACTTCACAAATATGAACTCAGTCTTCATACCCACTCTATGAAGTAAAGTACTATTATTATTATTATTATTATTATTTTTTTTTTTTTTTTTTGAGACAGTCTCGCGCTGTCGCCCAGGCTGGAGTGCAGTGGCACGATCTCGGCTCACTGCAAGCTCCTCCTCCCAGGTTCACCATTCTCCTGCCTCAGCCTCCCAAGTAGCTGGGACTACAGGTGCCTGCCACCACGCCCAGCTAATTTTTTGTATTTTTAGTAGAGACGGCGTTTCACCGTGTTAGCCAGGATGGTCTCGATCTCCTGACCTCATGATCTTCCCGCCTCGGCCTCCCAAAGTGCTGGGATTACAGGCATGAGCCACTGTGCCTGGCGAAAGTAAAGTACTATTATTAATGCTATTTTGTAGCTGGGAAAACTGAGACATAAAGAGATAAAGTAATTCGTAATATCCAGCTAAGGAAATGTATATCTGTGACTCAAATACAGGAATTTTGACTCCAAAATCTGAGTTCTTAATCCCTAATATAGGCCGGGCCTGGTGGCTCACACCTGTAATCCCAGCACTTTGGGAGGCCGAGAAGGGCAGATCACCTGAGGTCAGGAGTTCGAGACCAGCCTGACCAACATGGTGAAACCCTGCCTCTACTAAAAATGCAAAAATTTGCTGGCATGGTGGCATATGCCTGTAATCCCAGCTACTTGAGAGGCTGAAGCAGGAGAATTACCTGAACCTGGGAGGCAGAGATTGCAATGTGAGCCGAGATCGCGCCATTGTACTCCAGCCTGGGGAACAAGAGTAAAACTCCATGGGGAACAAGAGCAAAACTCCATCTCAGAAAAAAAAAAAAAAAAAAAAGAAATCCCTAATATAATGTTGCCACTCCAAAATAATTTGTAGGGTTATTTTATTTTGTTTTTGGTTAGGCTGGTCTTACATTGCAACTTACAGATCTGGCAGCTCAGCAGGAAGGAAATCTGCTAATCCGTAGTCATTGGAAGTATTTCCCTGTTTCTCACCAGCCTATCCTAATAGTTCATGGAAAACGGTGCAGCCATCTTTCTTAAATACATCATTTAGCTAAATGACTTAGGCACCATCATTCCTTAACTTAGTAAACACTGAACACCATGTTGGCCAGCCTGGTCTCGAACTCCTGACTTCAAGTGATCTACCCACCTCGGCCTCCCAAAATGCTGGGATTACAAGCGTGAGCCACTGTGACTTGCCAATTTAGTCTGGTTTGTAGGCATGATGTGCCTTGGCATGTGACCTCCTGTGAGACCAAAAGAGAAGCTCATATTTGTCCAGGATGGTGAAACTCTCAGCACAATGGCGTCAGTGCTTTAGGCTTGGCTGTACTTCTTTGGTTTCTGCTTCTCCCTTAGATTTTTGCCAGGTGGTTCTTTATTAACCCATCAGCTCTTTGGGGTTTTTAAGGAGATATTTTCAAAATATTATATTAAGCTGGGCACAGTGACACGTGCTTGTAATCCCACCTACTTGGGAAGCTGAGGCAGGAGGATCACTTGAGTCCAGGAGTTTGAGACCAGCCTGTGATGAGAAAGACATCCTCAATCTAAGTACTTAACTATTCTCCAGAAATGGATACTGCCGTTCTCTCCAATCATTCAGAAATAAAAGATTCAGCTAAAAACTGCTGAATCAATAATTTGTCTTGGGGCATATTGAGGATGTAAAAAAAGTTGTTGATTAATGCTAAAAACCAAATTATCCAAAATTATTTTATTAAATATTGCATACAAAAGAAAATGTGTAAGGCTTGCTAAAAAACAAAACAAAACAAAACACAGTCCTGCATACTCACCACCAAGCTCAAGAAATAAATCATCACCAATACCTTTGAGGTCCCTGAGTAATCCACCCCAGCTAAAGGCAAACCCTTCAATCAAGTTTATACAGCTAACCCTCCATTGTCCATGGTCAACAGGGAAGGGGTTGGGGACAGGTCTGCCAATCTATCTAAAAGCCACAATATGGAAGAAGTATTCAATTTATATAATAAATGGCTAACTTAACGGTTGAATCACTTTCATACATGGATGAAACGGGTTTAACACAGGAACCACATGAATCTTCTGTGGGCCAAGAGATGTTCCTTAATCCTTGTAGAATATTCCTTAATCCTTGTAGAACCTGTTTTCTATATTGAACTAGCTTTGGTACAGTAGAGTTAACTTACTTTCCATTTATCCACTGCCAATATAAAGAGGAAACAGGGGTTAGGGAAAAATGACTTCATTCCAGAGGCTTCTCAGAGTTCAACATATGCTATAATTTAGAATTTTCTTATGAATCCACTCTACTTGGGTAGAAAATATTTTATCTCTAGTGATTGCATATTATTTCCATATCATAGTATTTCATAGTATTATATTTGATATGAGTGTCTATATCAATGTCAGTGTCCAGAATTTCGTTCCTACCAGTTAAGTAGTTTTCTGAACGGCCAGAAGACCATTCGAAATTCATGATACTACTATAAGTTGGTAAACAACCATACTTTTATCCTCATTTTTATTCTCACTAAGAAAAAAGTCAACTCCCCTCCCCTTGCCCAAGTATGAAATATAGGGACAGTATGTATGGTGTGGTCTCATTTGTTTAGAAAACCACTTATGACTGGGTGCGGTGGCTCACACCTGTAATCCCAGCACTTTGGGAGGCTGAGGCGGGCGAATCATTTGAGGTGAGGAATTCGAGACCAGCCTGGCCAGCATGGTGAAACCCCATCTCTACTAAAAATACAAAAATTAGCCAGGTGTGGTGGCACATGCCTGTAGTCCCAGCCACTAGGGCGGCTGAGACGCAAGACTTGCTTGAACCCGGGAGGCAGAGGTTGCAGTGAGCCAAGATGGCGCCACTGCATTCCAGCCTGGGCAACAGAGCAAGACCCTGTCTGTCTCAAAACAAAAAACAAAACCACTTATATTGCTAGCTACATTAAGAATTTCTGAATATGTTACTGAGCTTGCTTGTGGTAACCATTTATAATATCAGAAAGTATATGTACACCAAAACATGTTGAACATCCATGTTGTACAACTGAAATATAAATAATTTTGTCAATTATACCTAAATAAAACTGGAAAAAAATTTCTGGAAGTTTATATCTAAAAATGTTAATAGTGCGTACCTCTAGGAAGTGGGCCTGGAAGCCATTCTTACTTTTCAGTCTCTCCCATTCTGTACTGTTTTTTGTTTTACTTTCGTGCCTGCATTATTTTTCTATTTAAAACAAAAATAAATCTAGTTTAGCACTAAAATATTAACTGGAGCTACCTCTGGAGGGCAAGAGTACTAGAAGGTGGGATGGATTGTCTTCTTGCTTGTCTGATTTTATATGTAATACCTTTGTAATTAGAAAGGTTGTTAAGCATTATATCAGAATCCAGTCAGGAGACAGAAACCACACAGAAATTTGAATGGGGAAAGTTTAATATACAGATGCTCGGCCTGACGCAGTGGCTCACGCCTGTAATTCCAGCACTTTGGGAGGCCGAGGTGGGCAGATCACTTGAGGTCAGGAGTTCGAGACCAGCCTGGCCAACATGGTGAAATCCTGTCTCTACTAAAAATACAAAAAAAAATTAAAAAAAAAAAAAAAGCCAGGCATGGTGGTGTGCACCTGTAGTCTCAGCTACTTGGGAGGCTGAGGCAGGAGAATTGCTTGAACCCAGGAGGCAGAGGTTGCAGTGAGCCAAGATCGTGCCACTGCATTCCAGCCTGGGTGACAGAGCAAGACTCCATTTCAAATAAATAAATAAATAAATAAAATAAGATGCTCCTCAACTTACAACAGGGTTATATCCTGAAAAACCCATTGTAAGTAGAAAATATTGTATGTCAGAAATGCATTTAATATACCTAAACTACCAAACATCATCGCTTAACCTGACCTACCTTAAACACGCTGAGAACACTTATATTAGCTTACAGTTGGGCAAAATCATAAACACAAAGCCTATTTTATAATAAAGTATTGAAAATCTCACGCAATTTATTGAATACTGTACAGAAAGTGAAAAATAGAGGTCGTATGAGTACTTGAGGAACAGTTTCTACTGAATGCGGATCACTTTTGCACCATTGCAAAGTAGAAAAATCCTAAGTCAAGTCATCATGAGTTGGGGACTGTCCGTAAGAGTTATTAACAGAGGATTGGAATGGGGATTGGGTAGTAAGGAATAAAGAGAAGCCTGGGCAGATGCAGGGAACAGCCGATATGGGCTTTTCACCCCAGGCTGAGACAGAACAACTCAAAGAAGAAAGCTCAGGGCTGAGATCCGGGCTGAGATCCAGACTTCGTGTGAGAGGACACAGCTGTGAAAGACAGAGGTTTGCTGAGGCTGTGGAGTTGCAGCTGGAGAAGGTGCTGGGCTTGGGGCACTTTGCAGAGAAGGGACCTTGTGCATGTCAAGGGAAGCCATTCATGTGGGGGTACTGTGCGCTGCTGACCATTGGGTGCTGCTGAAGTTAGGCACCGCCCAAGAAGTGTGCAGCCAGAACGAGGTGCTGCAGAGGCAGAGTGTATGTGCTACAGGAGCTGGTATTGCAGATGGCACAGGTGTTGCAGGTGTCTGCCTAGAGGAGCACAATGGAACCAGGAAAAGCAGCCCTTGCCCCTTCAGTGTGTCAGCAGCACCCTCGATTGACAAAGTTTCACTCTGTGCTTACTGTCATGGGAGAGGTATTTACAGGGCCCAGATCTATTATTACAGAACAGACAATGAAGACTGAATGTGGATATAAGAGGCAACAACTAGCATAACTCATTAAATCTAATAGTGCACACATAAACACAAAATAACCTAGTAATTTCTTAATATTGACTGACAGGATATATGCACGTGATGTATTTATAAATTCATGGAAAACTTATATAAAAAACAGGCAACCATAATTGAGTTTAGGGAGGAGAACAGGATGGCTGGTGGACAGAAAAGGGAGAGAGGGAAGTTTGCTTTTTTTCTCCTGCATACCCTTTTATACCAGTTGAGTTTTGTCCCATGTGTGCATACTATTAAAAAACCATAATACTTGACCAGGTGCAGTGGCTCACGCTGGTAATCCCAGCACTTTGGGAGGCCGAGGCGGGTGGATCACCTGAGGTTGGGAGTTCGAGACCAGCCTGACCAACATGGAGAAACCTTGTCTCTACTAAAAATACAAAATTAGCCACGCATGGTGGTGCCTTCCTGTAATCCCAGCTACTCGGGAGGCTGAGGCAGGAGAATTGCTTGAACCCAGGAGGCGGAGGTTGCAGTGAGCCAAGAACGCGCTATTGCACTCTAGCCTGGGCAACAAGAGCAAAATTCTGCCTCAAAAAAAAAAAAAAAAAATCATAAGATTCCATGCAAATTATTTTTCCAGAGCTGCTTCTAACAGCGTTTAGTTCAAGCAGCGGTCAGTAAAGTATGGCCCTGGACTGTCCAGCCCTCAAGCTAAGAATGGTTTTCACATTTTTTAAAGCAACAGAGACTCAGTGGCCTACAAAGCTAAAATATTTACTGTGTTCTTTTACAGAAAACAAACTATTTCTATGACGAAATACTTTTGAATCATAAGCTCATCATGCCCTTTATTCTAGTTTACATCAGTCTTCATAGGACTCCCAAGTCATCCCTCATTGACCTAAAAACTGTCCTCATGGTTGTAAGCCCTCCCTCCCTTCCTCCATCCATCTCTCCCTCTCTCTTTTTCTCCTTCCCTCTCTCCCTTCCTTCCTTTTCTTTCATAAAGAAAAGAGGTTTAGTTGACTCACGGTTCTGCAGGCTTTACAGGAAGCATGGTGCTGGCATCTGCTCGGCTTTTAGGGAGGCCTCAGGAAACTAAAATCATGGCAGAAGGTGAGCACACATGTCACATGATGAAAGCAGAAACAAGTGAGAGACAGTGGGGGGGCAGGGGGCAGGTTTCATACACTTTTAAATGACCAGATCTCACGAGAACTCAGTAACAACACAAAGGTAACACCAAGCCATGAGGGATCTGCCCCCATGATCCAAACACCTCCCACCATGCCCCATCTCCAACACTCGGGATAAAATTCAACATAAGTAGAGATAAATATCCAAACCACATCATTCCACCTCTGGCCCCTCCCAAATCTTATGTCCTTTTCACAATGCAAAATACAACCATGCCTTCCCAACAGTGCCGCAAAGTCTTAACTCATTCCAGCATTAACTCAGAAGTCCAAAGTCTCATCTGAGACAAGGCAAATCCCTGCCACCTATGAGCCTATAAAATAAAAAACAAATTATTTACTTCCAACATACAATCAGGGTTCAGGGGTTGGGGAAATATTCCCATTAGGGAAAAACCTGCCAAAAAAGGGGGCTATAGGCCCCATGCAAGTTCAAAACCCAGCATGGCAGTCATTAAATCATGAAACTCCACAATGATCTCCTTGGTTTCCATGTGGCACGCTGATATGAGGGTTGGGCTCCCAAGGCCTTGGGCAGCTCTGCTCCTATAGCTTTGCAGAGTTCAGCCTGCTGTCACAGGCTGGGTTGAGTGCCTGTGGCTTTTCCAAGTGCAGGGTACAAGCTGCCAGTGGCTCTACCATTCTGGAGAACAGTAGCCCTCTTCTCACAGCTCCACTAGGCAGTGCCCCAGTAGGGACTCTGCGTGGGGCCTTTAACCCCACATTTCCCCTCCACGCTGCCCTAGTAGAGGCTCTCTGTGAGGGCTCTGCCCCTGCAGCAGGGTTCTGCTTGGACACCCAGGCTTTTCCATACATCCTCTGAAATCCAGGCAGAGGCTACCAAGAATTCACCATTTTTGCATTCTGTGTGCCTGCAGGCTTACCACCTAATGGAAGCTGTGAAGGCTATGGCTTATGCCCTCCAAAGTAACAGCCCAAGCTGTACCTAGGCCCCTTTGAGCCCCTGCTGGAGTTGGAGCCATCTGGATGCAGGGAGCAGTGTTCTGAGGCTGCACAGGGCAACAGGGCCCTGGGCTCAGCCCAGGAAAATATTCAGTCCTCCTTGGCTTCAGGGCCTATGACAGGAGGGGCTGCCCCATAGGTCTCTGAAATGCCTTTGAGGCCTTTTCCCCATTGTCTTGGATATTACCACTTGGATCCCTTTCAGTTATGCAAATATCAGCAAGTGGTTGCTCCACAGCCTGCTTGAATTCCTTGGAGAAAATGGTTTTTTTTTTTACCACCTGGCTAGGCTGCAAAATTTCCCAACTTTTAGGCTCTGCTTCCTGTTTAAATGTAAGTTCCAAATTTAAGTCATTCATTTGCCCCCACATCTGAGCACAGGCTGTTAGTAGCAGAAGGCCACATCTTGAATGCTTTGCTGCTTAGAAATTTCTTCTGCCACATACGCTAGGTCATAGTTTTTAAGTTCAAACTTCCACAGATCCCTAGGACACAAGCAGAATGCAGCCAAGTTATTTGCTAAGGCATAACGTGTGACTTTTGCTCCAGTTCCCAATAAATTCGTTTCCTTTTGAGACCTTGTCAACCTGGACTTCACTGTCCCTATCACCATCAGCATTTTGGTCACAACCACTTATCTAGTCTCTAAGAAGTTCCAGACTTGCCGGGAGCGGTGGCTCACGCCTGTAAACCTAGCACTTTGGGAGGTCGAGGTGGGTGAATCACTTGAGGTCAGGAGTTCGAGACCAGCCTGGCCAACATGGTGAAACCCCATCCCTAATAAAATACAAAAATATTAGCCAGGCATGGTGGTGCATGCCTGTAACCCCAGCTGCTTGGGAAGCTGAGGCAGAAAAATCACTTGAACCCGGGAGGCAGAGGTTGCAGTGAGCCAAGATCACGCCACTGCACTCCAGCCTGGGCGACAGAGCAAGACTCCGTCTCAAAAAAAAAAAAAAAAAAAAAAAAAAGTTCGAAACTTACCCTCATTTTCCTGTCTTCTTCTGAGCCCTGTAAACTCTTCCAGCCACTACTCATTACCCAGTTCCAAAGCTGTTTCCACATTTTCAGGTATCTTTATAGCAATGCCCAACTTCTCGGTACCAATTTCCTGTATTGGGGCATTCTTGCACTGCTATAAAGAAATACCTCAAACTGGGTAATTTACAAAGAGGTTTAATTGGCTCATGGTTCTGCAGGCTTTACAGGAAGCATGGTGCTGGCATCTGCTTGGCTTCTAGGGAGACCTCAGGAAGCTTACAGTCATGGTGGAAGGTGAAGGGGTAGCAGACACATCACATGGTAAAAGCAGGGGCAAGTGAGAGAGCTAAACTCCCGCTTTCTGATCACATATCCCAACCTGCTCCAACTCCCTAAATCCTTCCACTGTGTCTACATGGTAGAATCTCCTACATCCACAACTTCTTATGTCAACATTCCTTCTATTTCTTGATCTAACTCCTCATTCTCAAGCTTTTTTTTTAACCATGACCCACAATAATAAATTTTACATCAAAACACCATACGCACATACATACACACACATATGTGTATACACAACTGAAGTCCCACAAAAACAAACCTTACTAAAATAAAGCTATATCAGATATGATTTTATTAATAGCCAAATAAACAAAAATTCAGAAATACAAAGTTCCGTGAAAGAGTTGTTTACATGCACTGTCAACTGTTCTCTCATTCTTATGTTCTCCCCCTCCAGGATTTTACCTCCTCCATTCCACCAAAACAGCTCTTATGAGGGTCACCAATGAGCTCCACATTGCTAAATTGGTGAATACTTCTCAGTCCTCACTTTAGTTGACCCATTAGCAGCATTTGACCTATTGGCTTTCACATGGCCCATCACCCCTCTTCCTCAAAACACTGCCTTCATTTGGCTTCCAGGGCATCCCTCTTGATTTTCCTAACTCAATGAGAGCTCCTCCTTAGTCTCCTGCACTGTTTTTCCTCATATCCTATCTCTAACCACTGAGAGAACCCCAAAGTTCTCCTCTGACATCTTCTCTATTTGAATGCACTTCCTCAGCTATCTCCTCTAGTTCAACAGCTTTAAATTTACTAACTTCTACATTTCCATCTCTAGCCCAGACCTCTCCTCTGAACTATTTTTTTATTTTATAATATAGACGGGGTCTCACTTTGTTGCCCAGTCTGGTCTTGAACTCCTGGGCTCACATGATTCTCCTGCCTTGGCCTCCCAAAGTGCTGGGATTACAGGCGTGAGCCACCATGCCTGGCCTAAGTGTGTGTGTGTGTGTGTGTGTGTATTTTTTTTTTTTTTTTTTTTTTTTGAGATGGAGTTTTGCTCTTGTTGAACAGGCTGGAGTGCAATGTCGCGATCTCAGCTCACCACAACCTCCGCCTCCCAGGTTCAAACAATTCTCCTGCCTCGGCCTCCCGAGTAGCTGGGATTACAGGCATGCGCCACCACACCTGGCTAATTTTTTTTTGTATTTTTAGTAGAGATGGGGTTTCTCCACGTTGGTCAGGCTGGTCTCGAACTCCTGACCTCAGGTGATCCATCCACCTCGGCCTCCCAAAGTGCTGGGATTAGAGGCGTGAGCCACTGCGCCCGGCCTATAATTTTTGATAGATGATTTTGGATTATTTTCCAGAGATAAAATTTTAAATGTTTCCATTATATCACTGATTTATTTCTGCAAATTGAATAAATTCTTAATTTTCTGCATGCACATAATACAAAAGGTATTTTCATAGTTTTGGATTTATACCAAATGAAAAGGACTCTCTTGATGAGCACCTTTAACTGATTTTTCTGTTAAAGTTTTAACAATTTGTTCTTGGAAGTCAGTTCGTGAAGGCAAGTTTGTCAGTATTTTCACAAAACTATTCAGCTGAATCCAGAAAGTGAAACAGCAAGAATTTGCATTGTAAAATTGTGTTATAAAATTGGACTTTGAAATTTCAAAAATAAGAAAAATTTTCATGTGTATTTATACTAAATACCGTTTTAGGAAACTAGGATCAGGGTGTTTCTGTTGGCGTTGGCATTAACTAGCTGGATGTAAATTTGAAAAGCCACTCAAGCAGCTTCCTAGTCTAGAAAGTCAGAGGTTTAGATTAGATTTCCGACATCCCTTCCATTTCTGACCTGTAGTTCTTGTCTGGAATTCTGCTTTGTTATAAACTATTGTTCTAAGGAGTTTGTTGTGATAGCACATAGTTCATTTTGTAAAGATTCCCTGCGTATAAAGTGATGCCCTACATATGTGATTTTGTATTAAAAGTATATAGGATCATTATTTTATTTTGAAAAATTTAAATACAGAAAAGTATAAAATATAAGTACCATCCGCCCAGAAATAACATGTGTTAATGTTTTGTCATATGTGCTTTATATTTTTTGAAATAAAGTGAAGTCAACTAGTATTTATAGTAAATAAGTTACATACACATAAGTACATATATGATATTTAATCCTCACAACGATCTTTTGACATGTGACCATTTCTTATTCTTCTTTTATAGACAAGGAACTAATGATATGATAGATTAACTGGCTGTTGTCACACTAGCAAGTGGCAAAACAAGGGATTAGGATCTTAGTCTCTTCAACTGTTAGATTCTATACTTCCATCCTGTGTTGACTTTGTTAATGGATTGGATAATGTGAGATCACTCTGATGTAAATAAAGTATCCTATATTAATTTCGAGTGCATTTTAAGTACTTGTAACATAAATGCTTCCTGTGAAATATCTGTAAAGACCTGAATGGGTACATGTGTGTAAAGAAGAATCAGGGCAGAAAAGTGCTTTTATCATGGCTCCGGGGACCTTAGCTTCAGTTGGTGTTGTGAGAATTCCTCACACAAGGACATTCTCCTTGCTTCAGCATCAGGATGGAAGTGTTTCTCATCTGGACTTTTTCAAAGACTCAGCTGGAGGAATCAGAATTCATAATTTCCTGGCAGCTCATGATTCTGCTACACTACACCATGCCATCTCTTGTGTGAAAGGACAGATTTGATGGAGGACTATGTCATCCCTCATGCGTTTCTTATTGTCTACATTTATTCTAATGGGAAGAAGTGAGCAAAAACACCACAATAATTTGGGTAGTTTTCAGAAAACCTTGTTAGTAAATTAGAATAGTGCCACTTTGGCATTATGAGAAAGAAGCATGGATACATAACTAGGGTTTTGTGTATGACTACAACGAAATGCAGAATGGTGTCTCCAAAAGGTTTCCAGTTGCTGCCACAAGAACTGCTTGGTATTGCCTACATGTGTTGTCCTATTTTTGCTTTGCCCTTCTGCAGTTACTTGCTGTGGGACCTTGGAGAAATTAACTTAGCCTCTCTGTACTTCAGTTTTTTGTATTTGTAAAAATATATTTGTAATAATCTCATAGTTAAGAAGGTAGTTAATGTGTGACTCAGTCCTTGTCTAAAAGTAAATATGCCTAGCTACCCCCATCTTCCAAAGCCAGAAGGTGAAACTTTAACAAGTTTTCTAAAAGCAAATTGTGTTTTTTAAAAGTGCATGTGTCATCCAATCCCATATGATTGATCTGTGCTGGGTGCAGCCTTAGAATGTAAATTCTTTTGAATTCTAGGCAGAGAATGCAGGATTGGCATTCTAAATATTTGTACATGATAAACAAATGCTTCTTTAGGTTACAGCAAATAGTTTACTTATCAAGATCACGATTGTTAGATACTGTTGTCAATTACAGAGGTTTTAGATGAGGCTTTCTGGAATGATTTAGTTTCCCTGTAAGGGAGCCTGTCTATTGGAATAGACAGGTTCACTTCTCCCAGTCTTTCAAGTTGCATGCTTTTTATATCTGATTCCACTGGCTGAGCTGATTGTGAATGTCCTAACCCTGTTGATTGTGTCTGGCCACTCATGGGCAAAGAACAGATTATCCATTCTTTATAGTTGTCTTTTAGTTTTACAAGTTGAAAAAACATCTGAGTAGGTTAGATAATTTATTCTACCACTTTGTAAATGATTAGAATATGTCAGTCATAATCATGCCAAGAGATTATGGATTTATGCATATTTTGTTTTGCTGTAGTACCATTCCTAGTTGAATCTTAACATCCATGTCTAAAATCTATACAGAACAAATATTACAGTTGGGAAAACTGTTTCAGTCTCCTCTCTTCGCAAATATGCTTTATATTTATTGGGGAGTCCTCTATCTTTTTCCTGGTTTTCCTTAAAGCCTTCCCAGGCTGATGGATAACAAACATATGCAAGAAACTTGGGGCTTGGGATTCCTCTAGGCTGTTTGTCCTAGAGGAATGCATCCCGTCTTGCAAATAGGATGGTCAATTAAGATGGAAGGAAGCAAAAGTGTGGATAGGAAGGAAGGGCACAAAAGGAAAAGTGTGGAATTTGTGTGTGAGTCCTCTAATGAGGTCAAAGGTGGGAGGGAGGCAAGCATGGAAGCTTCCTGGCACTGCGATACTAATTTCCCCTCCTCTCCCTTTTAAAATCCTGTCTTCTGGGAGGAAATGAGACTGATTATGGAGTTCCCACTAAGCCCTGCAGGGTTGGTGGAGACAACCCCATTTTACACATTAGTTCATAGACTTGGGTTGTGACTTGCTTGAGGTCACCCAGCCAGTGTGTCAGAGCCTGATTTTAAATCCAGGGCTGTTCTTTCCACTGCTATGCAAGATACCTTCTGTTTATATTTTTGAGGGAGACAACAGAGATGGGAAAAATTTTTAACAATAAAATAAAGGCAATGGAGGGGATGAGTATGCTGATGGGGAAGGAAAGAGGCCCTAGCTTCTGCAGTTCCTTTGTGTTATTCCTAACCCTTTTCTCATCTGGGGGTGCACTGCCTCTCCATTTCTCAAGTATGGGAAATGCCAGTAATTCCACTTGTGTTAATTGGCAGTCAGACAACTTGTCCAAAACTGAATTGATCTTACCCACCCCGCCAACATTTTAATAATTGCAACCCCAACCTTTCAGTTGCTCAGCTAAAGACTATGGAGGTATCCTTGATTCTTTTCTCATAACACACATCCAGTGTATTGGTAAGATTTAGAATTCAGTCACTTCTCACCAGCTGCTGGTCCAAGCCATCACAATTCCCCCAAAGTTCTTAACAGTGCTCACAGCCTCTCCTCCCCACCTTACCCTTCTGATTGCAGCTGCCACCACTCATCCCCTGCTCACTCCTGCAGTCGTCAAAGACCCCAATGCACTTCTACCTCAGGGCCTTTGCACTTGCAGCTCTCTTTGTCTGAAGAGCTTTTCCCCTAGGTATCAGTAGGGTTAACACCCTTCCTCATTCAGGTCATGGCTTAACTGTCTTCCCAGCGAGGACTCCTCTGGCCACCCTATTTTATTTTTTGAGATGAAGTCTCTGTCACCCAGGCTGGAGTGCAAGGTTGGCTCACTGCAACCTGTGCCTCCTGGATTCAAGCGATTCTCCTGCCTCAGCCTCCCGAGTAGCTGGGATTACAGGCGCCTGCCAGCACGCCCGGCTAATGTTTTTGTATTTTTAGTAGAGACGGAATTCACTATGTTGGCCAGGCTGGTCTCGAACTCCTGCCCTCCGATGATCCACCCCCGCTCGGCCTCCCAAATCACCATGCCTGGGATTACAGGTGTGAACCATCGCACCCGGCCTGGCCACCCTATTTTAAACTGCAAACTTTTCCCCTTCAGTGCTTAGTTTTTCTCCACAGCATTATCACCATTTCATATAGTATATGTTTTTCTTCATACTGACTCCCCTTGGAGAAGGAAAACTCCACGAGAGCAAGGATTTTTGACAGTTTTTCATTGTTATTTCTTCAGTGCTTAGACATGCATCAGGCTCAAAGTAGATGCTCAATGTTTGTTGAATGAACAGCAAGAGCAATGGAGGAGTCCTGAAATACACAGCAAGAAGCAAGGATAATTCTGGCTTTACTTCTGTGGCCAGGGTCCTTCATCCCAACCTTTTAGAAGTAGAAAAACCAGATCGAGCTCCTCAGAACCCAGGTCGATGGCTGCAGAGCCTTCGACCTTCCGAGAGCGAATGGCGATCACTCTTTCCGGTTCTCCGTGAATTCCAGCTGGAACACCGTCCCTTTCCGCGCCCCAACTCAGCGGAGGCCATGCCCTGCACCTGAGCGCCCCGCTCCGGCAGCTGCACTCTGCAGCATCCGGAACGTTTCGGCGTGGCCGCAGGGCGCGGCGGAATGACTTCCGGGGCGCCCCTAAAGCGGCGGAGAGGAGTGTCGGGCGGAGTTTCCGGCTGAGAGTCCTTCTAGCGGCGCCGGTGAGTCCGCGTGTGGAAGTCTGTGAGGCGCAGAGGTGGGGCAGGCCGTCTGGCTAGCTAGGCGGCTGGGAGCGTTTTCGTGGCGGGGAACGGAGGTTGAATTGCCCTGCCTGGGCTCATAGGGAAGGAGGATGTGAAGGAGCTTGTGAAGGCAGAGGAAGGTAACTTTCGTCTGGGGAGCCGCAGAGTAGGGAGGGAAGCTGCAGGCCGTCTCTCCCTAAGTAAAAGCGCGACTTTTAGAAATGATGGTTCAGGGTTCGAGTTTGTGACCCGCTTGAGAAAGTGACCAACCTCTGAGCCTGAATCCCATACCTGAAAAACAAGGACAGTAATCACCCTTGCCAGTTTCACATAGCTTGGTAAGGTGTGAAGAAAAGCTTCTTAAATTGGGATGTTTGGTGCTCTCATTTGTTGGCAGATAGCATTCCGAGCTCATGTAACGGGAATCACACCAGTAGGCTTATGCTGAGGAACGTGGATTGTTTGGGGTTGGATTCCAGGAAACAGATCACTTAAAATTTTTTTTTTTTTCTTCGAGACGGAGTCTCGCCCTGTCGCCAGGCTGGAGCGCAGCGGCGCGATCTCGGCTCACTGCAACCTCCACCTCCCGGGTTCAAGCGATTCTCCTTCCTCAGCCTCCCGAGTAGCTGGAACTACAGGCGCGTGCCACCACGCCCAGCTAATTTTTGTATTTTCAGTAGAGACGGGGTTTCACCATGTTGGCTAGGATGGTCTTGATTTCTTGACCCCGTGATCCTCCCGCCTCGGCCTCCCACAGTGCTGGGATTACAGGTGTGAGCCACCCACCTGGCCTCGCTGATATTTTTAAGAAGAAAATGGACTGACGGGAAGTGACAGGCCATTGGAGATCTTTACAAAGTCCATCTTCAGGATGCATGAATCCTTAAACAGCATGCATGTTTACAATCAGACTTCCCATTGAACGTCTGCAGTTTTAGGGACCTTAATACCTCCTGTCCAGTCGGATTTCCCGTTGCAGGCAGCTCTAATTAAGAAGTCCTTTTAGCCGGGCGTGGTGACTCATGCCTGTAATCCCAACACTTTGGAGGACCGAGGTGGGCGGACCAGTTGTGGTCAGGAATTCGAGACCAGGCCTGGCCAACAGGCTGGTGAAACCCCGTCTCTACTAAAAATAAAAAGGTTAGCTGTGGTGGCGTGTGCCTTAATCTCAGCTATTCGGGAGACAGAAGAGACAGTAGAATCGCTTGAACCCTGGAGGCGGAGGTTGCAGTGAGCCGAGATTGCGTCACTGCACTCCAAGCTTGGGCGACAGAGCAAGACTCTTGTCTCAAAAAAAAAAGAAAAAAAAGAATTCCTTTGATATGGTCAGCCAAAAGTCTCTCAGTTGCTATTTACTTTTATATTTATAATATTTATTATATATTTGTAATTATTTTATTTATTTTGAGATAGGGTCTCACTCTGTCACCCAGTCTGTAGTGCAGTAGTGAACATAGTAGCCTCGACTCTCCTGGGCTCAAGTCATCCTCCCACTTTTGCTTCCCAAGTAGCTGGGACTCAAGTACTCGCCACCTCGCCCAGCTAATTTTTTGATGTTTTGTAGAGACAAGGTTATTGCCCAGGCTGATCTGAGCGCCTGAACTCAAGCAATCCTTTTGCCTTGGCCTCTCAAAGTGCTGGGATTACAGGTTTGAGCCACTGTGTGCCCTGCCAAGAATTTGAGTTTAAAAACGTTGAGAACGTTATGCGAGTTTTTCATTTTTAAAGTTCACAATACGTAACAGAAAACAGGGAGGAGCAAAATGTTCAGTTGAGGCTGGGTGTGGTGACTCACGCCTGTAATCCCAGCACTTTGGGAGGCCGAGGTGAGTGGGTCACCTGAGGTCAGGAGTTCGAGACCAGCCTGGCCACCATGGCAAAACCCCATTTCTACTAAAAACACAAAAGTTAGCCAGGTGTGGTGGTGGGCTCTTGTAATCCCAGCTACTCGGGAGGCTGAGGCAGGAGGATCACTTGAACTCGGAGGCGGAGGTTGCAGTGAGCCGAGATCGCGCCATTGCACTCCAGCCTGGGTGGTGAGTGAAACTCCGTCTTAAAACAAAAAAAGAAACAAAAATATTCTGTTTACAGGCAGATCACTTGAGGTCAGGAGTTTGAGATCAGCCTGGCAAGTCAGGTGAAACCCTGGCTCTACAAAAATATAAAACATGGCAAAACCCTGACTGTACTAAAAATACAAAAATTAGCTGGGCATGGTGGCACGCGCCTGCAATCCCAGCTCCTTGGGAGGCTGAGACAGGAGAATCACTTGAACCCGGGAGGTGGAGGTTGCAGTGAGCCACGAGGTGGTGGAGTTGGGAGGGAGATTGCATTGGGGAGGATGGAGGTGTGATGAGGACATTTATTTGTGCATGAATGAATGAATGACAGAGTCTCGCTCTCTCACCCAGGCTGGAGTGCAGTGGCACAACCTTGGCTCGCTCCAGTGTCTACCTGCCAGGTTCAAGTGATTCTCCTGCCTCAGCCTCCCGAGTAGCTGGGATTACAGGTGTGCACCACTAGGCCCTGCTGATTTTTGTATTTCTAGTGGAGACGGCATTTCACTATGTTGGCCAGCCTGGTCTTGAACTCCTGACCTGAAATGATCTGCTGGCCTCGGCCTCCCAAAGTGCTGGGATTACAGGATGAGCCACCGTGCCCGTTTCTCTCTCTCTCTTTCTTTCCTTTCTTTTCTTTCTTTTTTGAGGCAGGGTCTCATTCTGTTGCCCAGGCTGGAGTGCAGTGACCTGATCTCGGCTCACTGCAGCCTCCGTGCCTCCTGGGTTCAAGCAGTCCTCTTGTCTCAGCCTCCCCAGTAGCTGGGATTACAGGGGCCCGCTCCCACCAACCTCCTAGCTAATTTTCAAACTCCTGACCTCAAGTGATCACCTGCCTTAGTCTCCCAAAGTGCTAGAATTACAGATGTCAGCCATCATACCTGGCCTGGTTTTTTTTTTTTTTTTTTTTTGAGACGGAGTCTTGCTCTGTCACCCAGGCTGGAGTGAAGTGGCGTGACCTTGGCTCATTGCAGCTTCTGCCCTCCAGGTTCAAGGAATTCTCCTGCCTCAGCCTCCCTAGTAGCTGGGATTACAGGCACCTGCCACCATGCCCAACTAATTTATGTATTTTTAGTAGAGACGGGTGTTGCCATGTTGGCCTGACTGGTCTCGAACTCCTGACCTCAGGTGATCCGCACCTTGTCCTCTCAAAAGTGCAGGGATTACAGGGATGGAGCCGCTGCACCTGGCCCTGGCCTGTGTTTGTTTGTTTTGTTTTGTTTTCAACTTTTATTTTCACGGAGTACGTGTGCATGTTGGTTACATGGATAAATTGCTTGTTGTTGAGGTTTGGTATACAAATGATCCCGTCACCCTGGTAGTAAACATAGTACCTGATAGGCAGTTTTTCAACCCTCACTCTCTCCCATCCTTCCCTGTCTAATAGTCTCCAATGTCTGTTGTTCTCATCGTTATGTCCACGTGTACTCAGTGTTTAGTTTCCACTCGTAAATGAGAACATGCCGTCTTTGGTTTTCTGTTGCTGTTTTTTTTTAGGCCAGAGTGCAGTGGCACGATCTCGGCTCACTGCAACCTCTCTGCCTTCCGGGTTCAAGCAATTCTCCTGCCTCAGCCTCCTGAGTAGATGGGATTACAGGTGCTCGCCACCACATCTGGCTAATTTTTTTCTATTTTTAGTAGAGACAGGGTTTCACCATGTTGGCCAGGCTGGTTTCAAACTCCTGACCTCAGGTGATCCACTTGCCTTGGCCTCCCAAGTGCTAGGATTACAGGCGTGAGCCATTGCGTTGGGCCTCTGTTCGTGTTAATTCAATGAGGATAATGGCCTCCAGCTGTATCCATGTTGCTGCAAAAGACAGGATTTCATTGTGTTTTTTTTTCGTTGTTTTTTTGGCTGCTAGTATTCCATGATATATTACGTACCACATTTTCTTTATCCAGTCCACCATTTATGAGCATCTAAGTTGATTTGATGTCTTTGCTATTTTGGATAGTGCTGTGATTAATATGAGTGCTCTTGTACTTTTGGTAGAATGGTTTTATTTTCCTTTGGGTTTATACCCAGTATTGGGATTGTTGGATCGACATACATGTGTCCAATAAATATATGAAAAAATGTTCAACATCACTGATCATTAGAGAAATGCAAACCAAAACCACAATGTAAATCAAAACCACAAACCCATCTCACCACCAGTTAGAATGGATATTATTAAAAAGTCAAAAAATAACAGATGTTGGCAAGGTTGTGAAGAAAAGGGAATGCTTATCCACTGTTGGTAGGAATGTAAATTAGTTCAGCCACTATGGAAAGCAGTTTGGAGATGTCTCAAAGAACTATGTTTAATTTTGTGTCCTTTTTTTTTGAATTATGAGCTATAGCATTTACCCATTTATAAATAATAAATGTGATTTAAAAACTTTTGATTATGAGAAAACTGAGACATACACAGAGAGATAGTACAATGAATCACATGTCACTCAGCTATAATAGTTCAACTACGCCCATACTGACTCCTCACAAGTCTACAGTTTGTCATGTGACACATCTATAAAGCATTTTTGTTCTTTTACAAATCGTAAAAAGACGCTTATTTTTATTGGTACCAAGTTTGTGTATAAGTTCATATTATTTCTTGGAAATGAGAAATGGAGTTCTATGAAGATTTTTAAGACAATTATTGAGTAAAATACAAAGAATAAGATGACCTGGCATTCCATTTTTTTTTACTTTATATATGTGTCTAATTTTCAAATTTAATTGGATGAATTTTGTAACAAACATCTTTAGATAACTTACATTCTAATGGTTTTTACAGATTATTGAATAATAAAATACAGTTTTGAAAAAAATGGATGAAGAACCTGAAAGAACTAAGCGATGGGAAGGAGGCTATGAAAGAACATGGTAAGGAGAGCTTTATTGCCCTGTCTTTTCTTTTAGACAATGTCTTTTTTTTTCTTTACAACTTTATTAAAGTATATTTTACATATGTTAAAATTCACCCATTTCCAATGTACAATTCAGTGATGTTTTATTAATAATTTACTGAGCTGTGCAGCCATTATCATAAACCAGTTTTAGAATATTGTAACCACTCCAGTAAGATCCTTCACATTCATTTACAATTAATTTAAATCTTAATTTAATTCCACCTGTGGGCAATCATTAGTCTACTTTTTGTCTCCAAATTTTAACCTTTTCTGGACATTTCACAAAAATGTGATCATATACAATCATGTGCCACATAATGATGTTTTGGTCAAAGACAGACTGCATATATGACAATGGTCCCATAATATTATAATACTGTATTTTTACTCTACCTTTTCTATGTATGTTTAGATATACAAATACTGACCATTGTGTTACAGTTGTCTTAAGATATTCAGTATAGTAACGTGCTGTACAGGTTTGTAACCTAGGCGTGGGATAGGCTATACCATCTAGGTTTGTGTAAGTATACCCTGTGATATTCACACAATAATGAAATTGCCTAACAATGCATTTCTCAGAATGTATCCCTGTCAGTAAGCGATGCATGACTATAATAGTTGGTCTGTTGTGGCTGGCTTTCACTTATTTTTAAGACTCATCCATGATGCAGTGTGTATTAATACTTCATTCCTTTTTTATTGCTGAATAGTATTCCCATCTATGGTTATGCCACATTATTGTTTATCCATTCACTAGTCTGTGGATATTTAGGTTCTTTACAGTTTTTGACTGTTAGGAAAATGCAGCCATGAACACTTACATGCAAATCTTTGTGTGGACATATATTTTCATTTCATTTGGGCTAGTAATCATTTTAGCTTGTCTTTTCAAACAAATAATTATGACTTATAGGGAGATTCTTAAAGAAGATGAATCTGGATCACTTAAAGCTACAATAGAAGACATTCTATTCAAGGCAAAGAGAAAAAGGTATGTAACCTTCCTATGTATCTTAAAAAGGTAAAATATATTCATTTTAAGCCTTTCTATCTATAAATACTCCTCAGTACTTCATTTTAGCTGTGTTTCAGGGTAACTGACCTATTGCCTTCTGACTATGGGGAAAGAACTAGCCACCTACCCTTGCCCCAGCAGGAAATGGTCTTTAGAGACTGTCTACAATACCTATAATTGTGTGTATTGTATTCCATAAGTTAATTATTTACTCCACTAAAAATGCACGTTATGACATTCTTACTCAGAATTAGAAAAAAAGAAAAACAAAGGAGGTCAATTGGAAAGTTGTATTTTTTTTGTGGGGGGGGATAGTATATGGAATTACATTAAAATGTTTGTATAATTTTAACAGAGTATTTGAGCACCATGGACAAGTTCGACTTGGAATGGTATGTCATTATTTTTTCTTTTACTAGTACAGAACTAGTTTAGGTTAGAGAAACATTCTGTCTTGCTAGAAAAAACAATAGCAAAACAACAAAGTTTTTAAAAGAATATGTTAAAAATACGTGCATAGAATATGTAATTATTAAATGCCATTTTTACTAGTCAAAATGGCACTTGAGGCTGGGCACAGTGGCTCATGCCTATAATCCCAGCACTTTGGGAGGCCAAGGCAGGAGGATTGCTTGAGCCCAGGAGTTTGAGACCAACCTGGGCAACAGAACGAGACCCAGTTTCTACAAAACAAAACAAGTACTTGAAATTGGCCCTTTCTTTTTTCCGATAGATGCGCCACCTTTATGTGGTAGTAGATGGATCAAGAACAATGGAAGACCAAGATTTAAAGCCTAATAGACTGACGTGTACTTTAAAGGTAAAATTTAAGTTTATACTAAATCATTTAAATTTGTACCAAAATCACTTAAACTTTTACTAAAAAAGTGGGGAAGAACACTGGATTCTAAAGGATATTTTTAAAGAATGCAATATTTTTTATTTTTTGCCTTGTATTTTTAGTTAATGCTAATGATAGCTAAGTAGAAGTACTGCCAGGTTATTTAGGGAAATTTTAAACCAACATAGCTAATTATTTGTGTTTTTAATTTCTATCCTCCCACCCCACATCAGGATCTTGGTTTATCAGTTATCCCTTTTCTTTCTTGAATCTTCATTCTCCTTTGCCTTACTTAACTCTGTCTCCTCAGATTACAAATATGTTCGTATTCCTAATTTATCAAAACCTATTCTCAATTCTGCTCGTTCTCCCATCTCTCTTCATTGGATCTTTTCCTCATTGAAATTTCTTCTGACACATCCAAATGGTTCCATCTTTTAAAACCTAGCTCAAACCTGTCTCATCACCCACCATTTCAAATTAACGTTTTTACTGTTTAATATTTTTATTACTTAACAGTTTTTGAAAATCTGTAAGTTTAAAAGTCATGAGAAGTGACGCTTGATTAACAGGTTTCACAAACATCAGTTGGACGTGTTCTTTATGATTGTTATTTTGCCTTTATCTAGTATGTCTTTTTTTGTTTAAACAGTTGTTGGAATACTTTGTAGAGGAATATTTTGATCAAAATCCTATTAGTCAGGTACGTATCTAAGTGATAGAATTCAGAATTAGATTCCTATTTTGCTTCCAAATGTAATTTATTTTTAAAAATTGGACATGTATTTTGTGAATTACCCAAATTGTTTAACCAGTTTCTGGTATACTTAAAAATGAAAAGCGTAATAACTCTAAAAGTTAAACGTAATGTGAACTCATAGCTAAATTTATTTGCCAAAAACAGCATGAGAAAAAGTTTCTCACCTGTTGCTTCTTTCTTTTGTAATTACTAGTTTATTTTAGCTATATAAATTATTTTTTTTTCTGCTCCAATATCATCTACAGGAATAGTTATATATATTCTTAATGGGAGGAAATAACTTGTTATATTAATAATAATTTTTGTTTTTATTTCAAGATTGGAATAATTGTAACTAAGAGTAAAAGAGCTGAAAAATTGACTGAACTTTCAGGTATGCATAAAATTACCTTTACATGACTCAAGGACTTTGCTTTATTTACCCAACCTCGTAGCCCTGTTTATATGGCTGCTTAATAAGTAACGTGAAGGGTGGTTCCTCTGTCTTCTCTAGGTGAAACAATTTAATAACATCTCCCCCACCATTATATTCTTAGGATACAAGGTTAACTATTCTAAATTGAGTTCTGCGTAGTGGTAAATAATACTACATTGAATATAAATGTTTTTATTTAAAATCTATATGTGCTTATCCTGAAATTTTTTTTCTTTCCTTTTTTTTTTTTTTTTTTTGGAGATGGAGTCTTGCTCTGTCGCCAGGCTAGAGTGCAGTGGCACAATTTCGGATCACTGCAAAGTCCGCCTCACGGGTTCAAGCGATTCCCTGCCTCAGCCTCCTGAGTAGCTGGAACTACAGATGCCCGCCACCACGCCCTGCTAATTTTTTGTATTTTAGTAGATACGGGGTTTCACCATGTTGGCCAGTATGGTCTCAATCTCTTGACCTTGTGATCAGCCCGCCTCAGCCTCTCAAAGTGCTGGGATTACAGGCTTGAGCCACCGCATCCGGCCTTATCCTGAAAATATTAAAATACAGTTATTGTAATCATTTATAAAATCCAGTTAATCTTAAAATTAAATTCTTAGAAAGTTAAGCATCTAATTTAAAAGGGAAAAAGTATAAAAATTAAACTGTAGCTATTGCTAATGAATCAATTTTTCTGCTTCCATGACATACCTAACTGAATTTTAGTTTCAAAACGTAGTAATGGCATTTTTTATTTGCTTTGGTATATATGCTGTTACAAATTTGCATCACTGATTCTATTTTATTTTCTGTGAAATACACTCTCCCTTAAATCTGGTTTTCAACCTTTTATCCTTGCCGGCACACATAAGGGAAATGACATACTTTCTTCATTAGTAGTTTTTCATTAAATGCAGTGAGGAGTGAAATGTACATTGGCCTGGAGTGATTCAAGAAACTCAGTTGTGAGTAACCAAAAGAATGTCACACTAGCTTAAGTGCAGAAGGAAAATTTTGGGCTATGTTCAAAGGTGGGCCAATTCCATATATAGTTGCTGCATATGTTGGGGTCCTGGCTTTGTCTGGCTTCATTCTCTGATAGATTTTCTGGAAGTTGAAAAGATGTCTCTTAATTGTCCCAGTCTACATTGTACCCGTAGCCTATAGCTTCAGCACACGTCTAGGGAGAACTCTGATTGGCCTGAGTTACGATCTGCCCATCCATGAACAAAGTGGCCAGGAAATGAAGTATTTTGTTTGTACGCTTCGATTGCCTGCTGATGCCCAGAGCAGGATAGAAGTAGGGTCAGCACCACATGAACTAAGCAGGATTATTATATAGTGGAAGAAGGATGGTTCCTCCAAGGTAGGAATATAAGGTCAATATTTTCCTCTCACTTTACCCACCCCGAGTTACCAGCAGTTTTCTATTACTTCTTTTTTTTTTTTTTTTTTGAGAAGGAGTCTCTCACTCTGTCGCCCAGGCGGTGCTGTCTTGGCTCACTGCAACCTCCGCCTCCCGGGTTCAAGTGATTCTCCTGCCTCCCCCTCCCGAGTAGCTGGGATTACAGGTGTGCGCTGCCACACCTGGCTAATTTTATTTTTAGTAGAGACAGGATTTCACCATGCTGGCCAGGCTGATCTCGAACTCCTGACCTCAGGTGATCTACCCACCTCAGCCTCCCAAAGTGTTGGGATTACAGGCATCAGCCACCATGCCCGGCCCCAGCAGTTTTCTATGGATGTTAGTGAAGTCATGTATAAAGATGAAAAATATTCTGGAGATTCTGACAGGCCTCTTGAAGCCACCTTTTTTTCCCTCCAATCAGACCACTGCTGTAAACCACACTGACACTATTGTAGTATGCTTTTTTCCTATACCCATAACACAGTGGGAGATTAAAAATAATTTTGTAGGGTAGGAAGAGAAGTGGATAGAGAGCCAGGAGATCTAGGTTTGGGTGCTGCTGGTCCTGCAGTTAAGCAGGCATATGTCTTTGGGCAAGTCATTTCACTTGTTTAGATTAATTTTCTCACTTATGAAGTGAGGGATTTGGACTGCTTAGCGAGGTACTTTTCATCTCTAAAATTTATGAATCTAAAATACTTGCAGTAAATATTAAATATTACAAATGGTTAATATTTTAAAACTTACTCAGATGAGTAAAAACTCAAGGGAGCTCCAAGTTGATGAATAGACAAAGAAGACATGATTCACACAGAAGAAACCCAGAAATTAAATCAGGGAAACTAGTAATCCAAAAAAACTCCACCCAATTACATAACATTTTATTTTTTAATATATTTTAAATGAGCAAAATTAAGTTTCCAAAGCAATATGTTGCTTGTGGAACCACAGAGAAACTGTTATTTATAGTGCTGATAGTCTTACAAATTAGTTCAATATTTTTTAGAAAAGCATAAAAATTGTTCCTGAAATTATATTTAGGGAATGTTATGGAAGGAGAATGATCACTCTACAAAGATACTCTTTGTAACATTATGTATAATAGTGACAGATTAAAAATTAAATGTTTAATAGTATGCTTTGATGGATTATATTTTATGACAAAATCAATTTAATGATACTTAGGTTATTGATTGATACGAAGACAGTGCTGAAATGGAAAATGTTTACGGAATACTATATTTCATTGAAACTCAGATTCCATCAATTACAAGATACTTTTATAAGCCATTAAGAAGGAAAAGTCCTAGTAGTTAAACTTTGACACAGTATCAAATGATATATGAGTTGGCTATACTAGCTTCTTGGTAATTTGACATGTACAGACATCTCAAATTTGGGGGCCAGGCGTGGTGACTTACACCTGTACTCCCAGCACTTTGAGAGGCTGAGGCGGGAGGATTGCTTGAATCCAGGAGTTCAGGACTAGCCTGGACAACATGGTGAAACCCTGTCTCTACCAAAAATATACAAAAAAATTTAGCCAAGTGTGGTGCTGGGCACTTGTAGTCCCAGCTACTTGGGAGGTTGAGGTGGGAGGATGGTTTGAGCCTGGGAGGTGGAAGTTGCATTGAGCCAAAATTGCCCCATTGCACTCCAGCCTGGCAACAGATATATATATAATCTAAATATAAATAATATAAAAAAATATTATATTAAAAAGAAAAAAAAGGATTTGGCAGCTTCTCCCCCCTTCATTTGAATTGCTTAGCATAAGATAGACAATCTTTTCAGATGCTATTTGGTAAGATAACACAGCTTCGTCTGTTTGTGGGAATATTCGTTTCTTAGGTCTTGTAAAGTTCTTGATTTCTTCCCTCAAGAAAAATACGGAATTGCATGCATTCTTCCATCAATATTTGATTCATTATAATAAATTTATGCCTCACTGCTGTGTTCCACACCTTTCTACATAAAAATATAGCCTTTTGTATTAACAACATTTCTAAAAACATTTTATTGTTTGTTTTTTGAGATGGAGTTTCGCTGTTGTTGCCCAGGCTGGAGTGCAGTGGTGCAATCTCAGCTCACTGCAACCTCCACCTTCTGGGTTTAAGTGATTCTTGTGCCTCAGCCTCCCTAGTGGCTGGGATTACAGGTGTATGCCACCATACCCAGCTAATTTTTGCATTTTTACTACAGATGGGATTTACACCATGTTGACCAGGTGTGTCTTAAACTCCTGACCTCAGGTTATCTGCCTGCCGTGGTCTCCCAGAGTGCTGGGATTACAGGCGTGAGCCACCGCGCCTGGCCTTAAAAACATTTTAAATGGCAGTTAAACTCACCATGAAGAGGACAATGTACATAATGCAATTGAAGCAACAACATATGAAGACCTATTTGTAGGTTCACATATGAACAGGCAAAGACTATGTTACAAGTGCTGCTGGCTACCAGTGATTATTAAACACATGCTGATTTCAGAGATGTTAAATGTGAAAATGTATTGGTCTTAAAAATGATGAAATATGGAAATATTAAGAGTAAAAAAATGCACTCTAGGTTAGCATTATTTTAAAATATGTATGCTAGTCTATAAGGAGATTATTTGTATTCTGTTTTTCAGTATGAAGTGAGAGTGTTTACAAAATATTGCAGATAAAATTCCAACAGAAATATACATTGAAAGGATTCTGTTCTTTAACATCATAGATATGTAAATTTTGAGAGAAACATAAACTTTTTTAATATATAGGATTTTATTTAAAGATCTTATTTCTATTTTAGGAAACCCAAGAAAACATATAACGTCTTTGAAGAAAGCTGTGGATATGACCTGCCATGGAGAGCCATCTCTTTATAATTCCCTAAGCATAGCTATGCAGACTCTAAAGTTAGTATTATACATTATGTATAATTGAATTAGAAGTTTTTTAAATGAGTTAAGCTGAAGTGATGTGTTAATATGGGGCCCATAAACCCAGCTATAACAAAATTGTTAAGTACAAGAATTATGTAGTGTTATTTATGATGTTTAGTGTGGTGTTGGTTAGTAATCTTTATTTTACATTTTAGTAAGATATTGTTAAAGGTTTTATAAAAATATAATTTAAAACTGTCGGCAGTATCAATAGTACAAAAATATGTTGATGAAAAAATATTTTATTAAAATGAGATTTAATATAGTATAATAATTGTAAGTTGGTTGTACCTTTATTAACATTTATTAATTTATTTTGAAAGTAATGGCCAAAACCACAGTTCCTTTTGCACCAATGTCATATATCTGTAAATTAATAGATATGGCAAGTTCAGCTATATGGAATAGAGCTAAGACCCCAAAGGAAATACTTGGTATAGTTAAAGCTTATATATATATATAAGCTTTATATACATATTATATATATAATTTATTATACATATATATATAAAGCTTATATATATGTTAAACTTACATATATAAGTTAAAGCTTATATATCTATTATATATACACACACACACACACACACACACACACACACACACACACACACGTATATATATATTTTTTTTCGAGACAGAGTCTTGCTCTGTCACCCAGGCTGGCATGCAGTGGCGTGATCTCAGCTCACTACAACCTCCACCTCTGGGTTCAAGTGATTCTTGTGCCTCAGCCTCCCTAGTGCTGGGATTACAGGTGTGTGCCACCATGCCCAGCCAATTTTTGTATTTTTAGTACAGATGGGGTTTCACCATGTTAGCCAGGCTGGTCTTGAACTCCTGGCCTCAAGCGATCCGCCCACCTCAGCCTCCCTAAAGCTTATATATTTTATCTCTGGATAGTCCGCCCTGGCTCAGACTTATACCTTTATATAATAGATATTTTTCTAGTTTTGAAGTGGATGAGAAGGAGGCAACACATGTAATAGAGGTAAGTACAGTAGCAGGGTCTACCAGTGAGAGCTGAGAAGATAACAATGAAAATATAAGCAGGAAAGCTATAACTAACTGATAAAATTGCTGCAGAAAGCATAAAAAGGTCTATTTAGTGTAGGTGAAAACTGGTCACCACAACTTAAAAATCTACAAGCTATCATTTTAATTAAATGGTATGCAATATTAATGTTCATGATTATTATGACTCTGAATTACTGTGAGGTTAAATTATAGTAATCCCCCCTTATCTGCAGTTTCACTTTCCAGTTTTAGTTACTCTTGGTCTGAAAATATTAAATTGAAAACTTCAGTAATAAATAATTCATAAGATTTAAGTTGTGTGCCATTCTGGGTAGCGTGATGAGATCCTACACCTTCCCTCTCTGTCCTGCCCAGGACGTGAATCATCCCTTGGTCCTGTAGATCCTCACAGTATATGCTGCCCACCCATGTAATGGCCTAAGTCATCAGATTAACTGTTGTTATTGACTGTCAAAACTATTGCAGTGTTTGTGTTATTTTACTTAATAATGACCTCAAAGTGCAGGAGTAGTGATGCCGGCATGTTGTTATAAATGTTCCATTATTAGTTATTGTTGTTAATCTCTTATTGTGCCTAATTTATACATTATTGATCATAGGTGTGTATGTAAGGCACACCTCATTTTGTTGCACTTTTATTGCACTTTTCAGATAACTTTTTTTTTTACAAACTGACAGTTTATGGCAACTCTGTTGAGCAAGTCTGTTGGTGCCATTTTTTTTTAACAGCATGTGCTCACTTCTTGCCTCTATATCACACTTTGGTAGTTCTTGCAATATTTCAAGCTTTGTAAATTATTGTTATATCTGTTATGGTGATCTGTGATCAGTGATCTTTGATGTTACTATTGTAATTATTTTAGGGCACCACAAACTGCGCCCATATAAGACAACAGACTTAATTGATAAGTGTTACGTGTGTTCTGAGTGCTCCACCAACTGGCTGTTTTCCAGTCTCTCTCCCTCTGTTCGGCCCCCCCATCTCCTAAGACACAAAAATATTCAAATTACACCAATAATAACCCTCCAGTGGCCTCTGAGTGTTCAAGAGTAAGGAGGAGTCGCATGTCTCACTTTAAATCAAAAGCTAGAAATGATTGAGCTTAGTGAGGAAGGCATGTCAAAATGCAAGACTGGCTGAAGGCTAGGTCTCTTGTGCTAAACACTTAGTCACATTGTGAATGCAAAGGTAAAGTTCTTGAAGGAAATTGAAAGTGCTGGGCTGTGCGTGGTGGCTCTTACCTGTAACTGCAACACTTTGGGAGGCTAAGATGGGAGGATCACCTGAGGCCATGAGTTTGAGACCAGTCCTGGTAACATAGCAAGACCTCCACCTCTACAAAAAAAAAAAAAAAAAAAAAAAAAAACAATTAGCCAGGCACAGTGGCGAGCACCTGTATGTAGTCCCTAACTTCTCAGGAGGCTGAGGCAGGAGGATTGAGCCCAGTAGTTTGAGGCTGCAGTGAGCTACGATTGTGCTACTGTACTCCAGCTTGTATGATAGAGCAAGATCCTGTCTCAAAATAAGAAAAAAATAATGGAAATTCAAAGTGCTGCTTCAGTGGACACATGAATGATAAGAAAGTGAAACAGCTTTATTGCTGATACAGACAAAGTTTTAATGGTCTAGATAGAAGATTAAAGTAGCCACAACAGTCCATTAAGTCAAATCCTAATCCAAAGCAAGGCTCTAATTCTCTTCAATTCTATGAAGGCTGAGAGCAGTGAGGAAGCTGCAGAAGAAAAGTTTGAAGCTAACAGAGCTGAGCTCATGAGGTTAATGAAAGAAGCCATCTCCAAAACATAAAAGTGTAAGAGGGGCTGGGCGCGGTGGCTCACGCCTGTCATCCCAGCACTTTGGGAGGCCAAGGTGGGCAGATCATGAGGTCAGGAGTTCAAGACCAGTCTGGCCAACATAGTGAAACCCTGTCTCTACTAAAAATACAAAAAATTAGCCAGGTGTGGTGGTGTGCGCCTATAATCCCAGCTACTCGGGAGGCTGAGGCAGGAGAATCGCATGAACCCAGGAGGCAGAGGTTGCAGTGAGCCGAGATCGCGCCATTGCACTTTAGCCCAGACAACACTGTGAGACTCCGTCTCAAAATAAAGAAAAAAAAAGTGCAAGAGGAAGCAGCAAGTGCTGATGTAGAAGCTGCAGCAAGTTATCCAGAAGATCTAGCTAAAATAATTGATGAAGGTGACTACACTAAATATCAAATTTTCTTTTTCTTTTTTGTTTTTGAGAGAGAGTCTCGCTCTGTCACCCAGGTTAGAGTGCAGTGGTGCAATCATGGATCACTGCAGCCTCAAACTCCCAGGCTCAAGCTATTCTCCCAGCCCCACAAGTAGCAGGGACTACAGGCATGTGCCACCACACCCAGCTAATTTTTGTTGTTGTTGTTGTTGTAGAGGTAGGGTTTCGCCACATTGCCCAGCTGGTCTTGAACTCCTGGGCTCAAGCAGTCCTCCGCCTCTGCCTCCCAAAGTGCTGGGATTACAAGCATGAGCCACTGCACCTGGCCTCATATTTTCAATGTAAATGAAACAGCCTTCTGTTGGAAGAAGATGCCATCTAGGATTTTCATAGCTAGAAGAAGTGAATGCCTGGTTTCAGAGCTTCATGGGATAGGCTTCTTCTCTTGTTAGGGGCTAATACAGCTGGTGACTTGATGTTGGCACCAATGTTTGTTACCATTCTGAAAATCCTAGAGTCCTTAAGAATTATTCTAAATCTATTCAGTCTGTGCTCTGCAAATGGAATAACAAAGCCCAGATAACAGCACATCTGTTTACAGCATGGGCTTACTGAATATTTTAAGCCCATTGTTGAGATATATCTCAGAAAAAAGATTTATTTCAAAATATTATTGCTCATTGACAATGCACCCAGTCACCCAAGAGCTCTAATTGAGATGTACAAGAAGATTAATGTTATTTTCATATCTACTAACATAGCACTCATTCTGCAACCCTTGGATAAAGGAATACTTTGAACTTTCACGTCTTGATTATTTAAGAAATACATATCATAAGGCTGTGACTGCCATAGATGGATCTGAGCAAAGTACATTGAAAACCTTCTGGAAAGAATTCACCATTCTAAATGCCATTCATAGAAAGAGGTCAAAATATCTACACTGGCTGGGCATGGTGGCTCATGCCTGTAATCCCAGCACATTGGGAGGCCGAGGCGGGTGGATCACTTGAGGTCAGGAGTTCAAGACTAGTCTGGCCAACATGGTGAAACCCCGTCCTCACTAAAAATACAAAAATTATCTGGGCATGGTGGTGCATGCCTGTAATCCCAGCTACTGGGGAGGCTAAGGCAGGAGAATTGCTTGAACCCAGGAGGCAGAGGTTGCAGTGAGCCGAGATCGCACCACTGCACTCCAGCCTGGGTGTCAGAGCAAGAATCAGTCTCAAAACAAAAAAAGAATAGCCCATAAACTTAGTTGGTAAAGCATCAGTGGGGTTTCAAAGGAATGACTCCCATTTTGAAAGAGGTACTACTATGAATAAAATGCTACCAAACAGCATTTGCATTCCTTTCATGAAAGGAAGAGTTGACCCATGTAACAAACTACTTTGTCTTATTTTAAGAAATTGCCATAGCCACCTCACCCTTCAGAAAGCACCACTCTGATCAGTCAGCAGCCATCAATATCAAGGCAAGACTCTCCTTCAACAAAAAGATATTATTCACTGACAGTTCAGTCGATTTTTAGCAATAAAGTATTTTTCATAAAGGTGTGTACTTTTTTTTTTAGATATAATGCTGTTGCACACTTACTAGACTACAGTATAGTGTAAACAGAACTTTTCTTTTTCTTTCTTTTTTTTTTTTTTGAGACGGAGTCTCGCTCTGTCGCCCAGGCTGGAGTGCAGTGGCGCAATCTTGGCTCACTGTAAGCTCCGCCTCCTGGGTTCACACCATTCTCCTGCCACCACGTCCGGCTCATTTTTTTGTATTTTTAGTAGAGACGGGGTTTCACCGTGTTAGCCAGGATGGTCTCGATCTCCTGACCTCGTGATGTGCCCGCTTCAGCCTCCCAAAGTGCTGGGAATACAGGCGTGAGTCACCATCCCTGGCCGTAAACAGAACTTTTATATACACTAGGAAACCTGAAAGTTCATGTGACTTGCTTTATTGCAAATATTTATTGTGATATTTGCTTTATTGCTGCGGTCTGGAATCCAACCCTGCAGTATCTCCAAGGTATGCCTGTATAGGGAAAAACATGGTATAATCAGCCCTCTGAATCCTGGGTTCTGCTTCTGTGAATTCGATCAACCACGCATCAAAAATTTTTGGAAAAAAATTGTACCTGTACTGAACAAATAGACATTTTTTCTTGCCATTATCCCCTAAATAATAGAGGATAACAATTACTTACATAGTATACATTGTATTAGGTATTATCAATAATCTAGAGATGACTTAAAATATATGGGAGGATGTACATAGGTTATATGCAAATACTACGCCCTTTTGTATCTGGGACTTGAACATCTGCAGATTTTGGTATCCATAGGAGGGCCTGAAATCAATCCCCCAAGGATACCGAAGAACGACTGTATATATAGGGTTCAGTACTATCCTTGATTTCAGGTATCCACTGGGGGTCTTGGAATGTATCCTCTGCAGATAAGAGGGGACTACTATAGTCTTTGAGAAAGAAGTGTGTGTTACTGTTTTGAAGCCACATCTCTGCACTTTAAAGCTGATCCATATGATATTGCCACATTTTAGTTTAAAGTTTATCCATATATTGTTGTATTTTTTATTGTATACTCTAGACTTTGTATGAAACAAACCTACTAGAATGTAAGCTTAATGATGTCGGGAACATTGTCAGTCTTGTTTATCACTCTACCCCCAGAACTTGAGAGTACTTGGTAAATATTAAATGAATCAATTAACAATTTTTTGAAGTGCATAGCTCATTTTAGAAAAATTTGCATTAAAGTGTTTAAAATATACTCACAACCTTTCTTTGCATTGTTGAAACAAATGAGATATTCTATAGTCTAAATGTGTAATCCTATGTTTACTGTTCTTTCTGGGTAAATTTTTTGGTAGTATAATTTGTTGTACCTAATTGGAGTGTATTTTATCTTTCTTTTAAGACACATGCCTGGACATACAAGTCGAGAAGTACTAATCATCTTTAGCAGCCTTACAACTTGCGATCCATCTAATATTTATGATCTAATCAAGGTAGACCAAAAAATCAAAACCAAAGTTATAACTGTAAAGAGAATTCTGTAGCAAATTGATTTATATATATATGTATTTTTGTATGTGTGATTCATCTTTGTGGTAGATGTATTGAATTTATTACTAGTTTTCAGAGCATTCTTTATTTTTCAAATACATTAAATCTTAAATGTTTTTCTTCTTTCCTAAAACTATCTATCTACTTGGATTTTATGAAGACCCTAAAGGCAGCTAAAATTAGAGTATCTGTTATTGGATTGTCTGCAGAAGTTCGCGTTTGCACTGTACTTGCTCGTGAAACTGGTGGTATATATATAATTTATTTAATATTTGCTTATAATTACTGTGTAGGAAATAATTTATTAATTAAATTAGGATGTTTTAATCTGTTCTGAGCTACTAAACTTAAAGTAGTCTAAAATATGGGCAGTCATCTTAAATATATCATTGATTCCATAAGAAATCATCTCCAAATGCAAAGAGTTTTCAGTACTTATGTCAGTATTTAGAGGAGGTATTATAACTCTTGGAAAGCTGGAAATTTTACTGTATGTAATTCTTTATAAAGATTTTATAACTTGTCTTTAATTAAATTGTAATTACAGGCCAGGCATGATAGCTCATGCCTGTAATCTCAACATTTTGGTAGGCCAAGGCAGGAGAATCACTTGAGGCCAGAAGTTTGAGATCAGTCTGGTTAACATAGTGAGACCTGTCTCTATTTATATGTTAAAATAATAATAGTAGTAATAATAATCAATTGTAATTATAGTTATTCCTAGAGAAGTTGATTTAGATATATTACTTAAATAAGGTTTTAAAAGTGATAATTTAGCTAAAATCATTATTTTAAAAATGTACATTTTCAGATGATACAACTTTTACAGAATTACGTAGAACGTACAGTTCGTTATGTCTATGAAGGTGTTTTTTTTTCCCTTTTCATCTTGTTAGGCACGTACCATGTTATTTTAGATGAAAGCCATTACAAAGAGTTGCTCACACATCATGTTAGTCCTCCTCCTGCTAGCTCAAGTTCTGAATGCTCACTTATTCGTATGGGTAAGTGTTTTTATGTTTTTAAAAAATACATATCTAGGCTCTCTATTTTCATTTGCACAAGTTATTTTAATATTTAAGAATTTTTAAAGAAAAAATATGCTTGTTGAAGCAATTTTGGAAAGTACAGAGAAGTGGAAAAAAAAAATTAAAACTACCAGTAGTCCTGTCACCCAGAAAATACTGTTGGCTTTCTTTATTTTTAAGGCTAGAAAGGTATAAACTGTGTTTATAGAAAAATACTTATATTAAGCCGGGCTCGGTGGCTCACGCCTGTAATCCCAGCACTTTGGGAGGCCGAGGTGGGCGGATCTTGAGGTCAGGAGATCGAGACCATCCTGGCTAACACGGTGAAACCCCATCTCTACTAAAAATACAAAAAATTAGCCAGGCGTGGTGGCGGGCGCCTGTAATCCCAGCTCCTCGGGAGGCTGAGGCAGGAGAATGGCATGAACCCGGGAGGCAGAGCTGGCAATGAGCCAAGATCACACCACTGCACTCTAGCCTGGGCGACAGAGCGAGACTCTGTCTCAAAAAAGAAAACAAAAGAAAAACACTTATATTAAAAATTTTTTAAAATAAGCTACAAAGTCCGGGCGTGGTGGCTCATGCCTGTAATCCTAGCACTTTGGGAGGCCGAGGCTAGCGGATCACCTGAGGTCAGGAGTTTGAGACCACCCTAGCCAACATGGCGAAACCCTGTCTCTACTAAAAATTACCAAAAAATGGCTGGGCATGGTGGCAGACATCTGTAATCCCAGCTACTCAGGAGGTTGAGACAGGAGAATTGCCTGAACTCAGGAAGCGGAGGTTGCCATGAGCTGAGATTGCGCCACTGCACTCCAGTCTGGGTGACAGAGCAAGACTCTGTCTCAAAAAAATAAAATAAAATAAAAATAAAATAAGCTACAAAATTCTCTGTACTGGATGATCAAAGCTGTGTAATGCAAACTGTGCAAAGACAAAGCTTGCAGGGAAGTACACCAAATTGCTCAAAGGAGGGGAAATTATTGGTTTTGGATCACTTTTTTTTTTCTTTTTTTTTTTTGAGATGGAGTCTCATTCTATTTCCTAGGCTGGAAGTGCAGTGGTGCGATCTCAGCTCACACTGCAACCTCCGCTTCCCAGGTTCAAGCAATTCTCCTGCCTCAGCCTCCCGAGTAGCTGGGATTACAGGCGGGCACCACCATGCCCAGCTAATTTTTGTATTTTTAGTAGAGACGGGGTTTCACCATGTTGGCCAGGCTTGTCTTGAACTTCTGACCTCATGATCCGCCCGCCTCGGCCTCCCAGAGTGCTGGGATTACAGGCTTGAGCCACTGTGCCCGGCCTTGGATCACTTTTTTAAAATGTTATTTTCTTCTATTTTACAAAAATGTTACAATGAAAATTTATTACATTTATATTGAAAAAAGTATAACTTTTAATAGAAAAATAATCTCCTTATTTAATATGTATGTTTTTAAATGTTAATGAAATAAAATGCTTTTCTACTTTTGGCCTTTTATATTACCAGTCGACCTCTCTTTTCCACGGTCTTCTCATGTGTTTAATGATGTCAGTAACTATCAACCTTATTGTGTGTTTCAAGGATTGAGTTAATACAGATGATGCGTTTAGAATAATGCTTGATGTAAACATTCAATACATTTTAGATCTTATGTTTGGCTAATCTTTTTGATTTACTGATATATTTTCTTATTTCATTTTAAAGTTATTTAAATTTATAATTTATTTATTAGAGTCCTTTAGGAATGTTAACCCTTCTCAGTCACCCGATGCAAATATTTTTCTTGTTGGTTATTTGCCTTTACTTTTATTTATTTGTTTTGATATGTAGATACATTTACATTTTTTATGTAATATATCTTTTTTAAAATGGTTTCTGCTTTTCCTGAACATGTTTTCAGAATTTAAAATTGTATATGGAAAACAAATTACATGAAAGATTTGAGCATTTCAAAATTTTAAACATAAAAGCATAAACGTAGATAAAATGGTGTACTATGATATCTTCAGTTTTATCAGAAATGATGTAAAAATTACAACCTCTTTAAAAAGTAGTGTTAATCATTAAGTTAGAAAATATATAGCTGGGCATGGTGGCGGATGCCTGTAATCCCAGCTACATGGGAAGGTGAGGTGGGAGAATCGCTTGAACCCAGGCAGTGGAGGATGCAGTGAGCCAAGATCATGCCACTGCACCCCAGCCTGGGTGACAGAACAAGACTCCATCTCAAGAAAAAAAAAAAAGAAAAATATATATATGAACTTCAGAATCTGAGGTCATATATAGACAGGTCTTTCCCCCGTTTCCTCTACTTTTTCTTGTAGCTTGGAATTAGTCAGTTTCATCATGCTATAATAAGCTTATCTGAAAGGCAGTAAAGTGATATTTTGTACAACTTCATTGGCTTTTTGAGAAGAACATTTTTAGGTTCTTAGTCCTAGAATTCTGCTGTTTGCTTGGAAAAAGAAAGTAATACATTTTCTTCTATGAAGGATTTCCTCAGCACACCATTGCTTCTTTATCTGACCAGGATGCAAAACCCTCTTTCAGCATGGCGTAAGTAAAGACCTTGAAAATATCAGTGATAATGTTTTTACATTTTTAATTCCTTCTTTTAAGTTATAAATTCAAAAGATAGGCAATGAAGACTATCTCTATATACTTGTATGGAGTGATCTTCAGGATAAATTACTAAGTAAAACAGTAGTTTGAGAGAATTTTGTAGTATGCTGCTAATCACCTAAGAAGAAAGTAGAGATGTAAGTGGATGTATATACTTGTTTATGTTAATAATAAAAACAATAGTATGGAAATAATAAAAACTTAAAAGGGGTGGAGGGGGAAATTTTTTTTTTTAATGTTTACCTCAGTGAGTGTGTAGGGAAAAGCAAAGGGTTAGACCCTAGACTTTTCTGAATGCATCACTTAATGATAGGGATACATTCCGAGAAATGTGTCATTAGGTGATACCATCATTGTGCAAACATCACAGAGTGCACTTACACAAACCTAGATAGTGTAGCCTACTAACATCGCAGTTATATAGTATAGCCTATTGCTCCTAGGCTGCACACCTGTACAGCATATTGTGTACTGAATAATGTAGGCAGTTGTAATGTAACACCTAGTGTTTGTTTAACTAAACACAGAAAAGGTACAACTAAAATGTATTATTTTATGGGACCACTGTCATATATGTGGTTCATCACTGACCAAAATGTTATATAGAATATTACTGTACCTTGTTTTAACTTCAGAGCTTTGTATTTTACATAATTATAAAACAAAATTAAATTTAAGAGAGTAATTCTTAAAAATCACAAACAAGATTTCTGCCTCCAGCCAAAAAGCTGTAACAGGGACTAGATTTACCCTCCTGTCAAAAAAAGCAGACAAAATATATAAAACAGTGGTTTTCAGACGTTGGACAGCAAGCCTTGCTGATAATGATCCCTGAAAGAAAGGAAACAAATGAGATGGGCCCTAAGAGCACTCCACCTTACTGCCTGGATGGAATTTCCAGGCTGCACACAGAGGCTGGAGATGTTGTTGAGTTGAAGAAACAAAGTTCATCTTTCAAGGAGGCTGAGATGGCGATAATTTTGCAGGTCAGAGTACTGGAGAGGAAAGATCTGCACAGAGAGAACTCTCTGGGGAGCTGCATAGACTTGCTCATGAGTCAGCAGCTGAGCGTTGATCAGCCCTTTTGTGTGAGGAGACTACTGGAAGTCAGGGAAAAAATCACTGGAAAGCAGCAGACAGAACAGTTTCCAGAGCTCACACAGAGAACATTCATGTTCTCACCAGTCTGTATGGAAATACCTCTTAACATGACAGGCATTGAATAGAGTCCACAGTAATGGGATCAAATTAATTCTATCACAAGAACTGGAACCAGAGGCAAAAAGAAAAGAAAAGAAAAATCTAGACTAACAGCTGTTCTAGACCAGCCTAACAAAGTTTAAAAGCAAATTTTGAAGAGATTAAACTATTTCCAAGTTAATGAAGTATATTTCAGAACAAACCCTTAAATATTTGAGGGAATACAAAAAAAAAAAAAAAAGAAAAAATCCAGCACCCAAAACAAAGCAAAATTCACAATGTCTGGCAAAGCAAAATTCATAGTCCCTGGCAGAAATTACCAGGGATGCAAAGGAAAATATGACCCATAAAATGGAGAAAAATCACAGAATGGAAACATACCCAGAAATAACCCAGTTGGTAGAATTAATAGACAAAGGGTTGGGTGCGGTAGCTCCTGCCTGTAATGCTAGCACTTTGGGAGGCTCAGGTGGGCAGATCACTTGAGCCCAGGAGTTCGAGATCAGCACAGCCAACATGGCGAAACCCATCTCTACTAAAAACACAAAAATTAGCCAGGCCTGGTGGCACACGCCTGTAATCCCAGCTACTTGGGAGGCTGAGGTACAAGAATGACTTGAACCCAGGAGGTAAAGGTTGCAGCGAGCTGAGATCGTGCCATTTCACTACAGCCTGGGTGACAGAGCGAGACTCTTATCAAAAAAGAAAAAAAAGAATTAGTAGACAAAGATGTTAGGACAACAATTATAAATGTACTCTGTATGTTCAGGATGTTAGAGAACATGAGAATGGTAAGAAGAGATATGGAAGGTATAAAAAAGACCCAAATCAAACTTCTAGTGATGAAGAATACAGTGTTTTAGATGAAAAATATATTGGCTGGGATTAACAGCAGATTAGACACTGCAGAAGAAAAAATTAGTGAATTCAAAGATAGTAATAGAGACTTTAAAAATGAAGAGAAGGGCTGGGTGTAGTGGCTCACATCTGTAATCCCAGCACTTTGGGAGGCCGAGGCAGGCAGATCACTTGAGACCAGGAGTTTGAGACCAGCCTGGCCAACATGATGAAACCCCATCTCTACTAAAAATACAAAAATTAGCTGGGTGTGGTAGCACGTGCCTGTAATCCCAGCTACTCAGGAAGCCAAGGCACGAGAATTGCTTGAACCTGGGAGGCGGAGATTGTAGTGAGTTGAGATTGTGCCACTGCACTCCAGCTTGGGCAACAGAGTGAGAAGCCGTCTCAAAAAAAAAAAAAAAAATGAAGAGGGGGAAAAAAATGAATGTAGCATAATTTAGTTATAAGACATACTCACAGATTTTAAAATAGACTTTTAGACCAGGCATGGTGGCTCACACCTATAATCCCAGCACTTTGGGAAGCTAAGGCAGGTGGATCACTTGAGGCTAGGAATTCAAGACCAGCAATATAGTGAGAGACCCCCATCTCTATATAAGTTATAAATTTTTTTTTAAATATAGACTTCTTTTGTTTTTTTTTTGAGATGGAGTTTCACTCTTGGCACCCGGGCTGGAGTGCAGTGGTGCAATCTCAGCTCACTGCAACCTCTGCCTCCTGGGTTCAAGCAATTCTACTTCAGCCTCCCAAGTAGCTGGGATTACAGGCGCCTGGCTAATTTTTGTATTTTTTAGTAGAGATGGGGCTTCACCGTGTTGGCCAGGCTGGTCTTGAACTCCTGACCTCAGGTGATCCACCCGCCTTGGCCTCCCAAAGTGCTGGGATTACAGGTGTGAGCCTCTGCGCCCGGCCAAAAATACAGACTTTTAAATAGATTTTTAAATAGTGTCAAGATTTTAAGGTCAAGATAGCATGCTTTCCCGCTCTAACTTTTCAGATCATTATATATTACCCTTTTTCCCCCTACAGGCATTTGGATGGCAATACTGAGCCAGGGCTTACATTAGGAGGCTATTTCTGCCCACAGTGTCGGGCAAAGTACTGTGAGCTACCTGTTGAATGTAAAATCTGTGGTAAGAAAACAACTATTCATTATTCAGTAAATCTTGAATGACTTCTTAATCTGTATTGCTGCTAAAATTAATGTAAATGTTAAGTTATTCCTATGTTTCTGGATTTAATCTGTGCAAAGAAAAATAGATTACTTTTTAAATTGAGTGCCCAGTACTCCACTTCCACGTATAAATGTAGCATTCTAGTTTCCTGATCCTCTTTCTGAAAAAAGTATATTCTTTAAAGGCAGTGCAGTAGATGTAGTAGACATTTTTCCATCTCTTACCTTTATAAAGTAAATATATATAAGAATGAAGAATTAAACTAATAGAATTGTCGAATTTTATTTCATTTATAATATAAGTAAGCAAATAGACCGAGACAGGTTGGTTACACACTTAGTGACAGAACTAAGACTCCATCCTACAATCTTCTGTTATAGCCACAGGTAAAATTAATAACTGCCATCCTAAAAGAAACTGAACATATTCTGCTGAAGTTACATCTTTTGGCTTTTCAGCCGTTGTCTTCATGAGGTTTGGACTACTCAACATGTCTCTCTGCTTAATGTGTTAGGTCTTACTTTGGTGTCTGCTCCCCACTTGGCACGGTCTTACCATCATTTGTTTCCTTTGGATGCTTTTCAAGAAATTCCCCTAGAAGAATATAATGGAGAAAGGTATTTCAGTTTGGACTAATTTATATCTGTTATAAGTGGTAAGCTAATGTTTGAATAGATTGTTACTACCTTAAAAAATAATCTGATTAACTTGGACAAGAGTACTTCTAATATGGAAGATGAGATAAAGAATGCCATAGTTATGATTGAAATGACTCGTTGCTAAATAGATCTGAATCTCCAGAAACCAAATAATTTCACTAAACCCACCTATGTATAAATAGGGGTGATGATTGTACTACTAAATCAGTTTTCCAGAAGGAAAAGAAAAAAAGCCCTGATTGGTAGTATTTGCTGATTTCCATGGTTTGAATACTCCCACCATGGCCAATTTTTAGCTACAATTAACAACCAGCTTTCTTGAATACATATTTAACAATATATCCTTTTGATCCAGTACAATCCAGTCCTAGCACACTACTGAAAATAAGAGGCTCATTCAGCACTTTGGGAGGCTGAGGTGGGAGGATCACTTGAGGCCAGGAGTTGAAGACTAGCTGGGGCAACATAGTGAGACACTGTCTCTTAAAAAAGAAAAAAAAAGCTGGACATGGTGGCTCATACCTGTAATCCCAGCACTTTTGGAGGCCAAGGCAGGCAGATCACCTGAGGTCAGGAGTTCAACACCAGCCTGAATGACATGGAGAAACCCCATCTCTACTAAAAATACAAAATTAGCCTAGTATGGTGGTGCATACCTGTAATCCCAGCTACTCGGGAGGCTGAGGCAGGAGAATCGCTTGAACTCGAGAGGCAGAGGTTGCGGTGAGCCAAGATCGCACCACTGCACTCCAGCCTGGGTAACAAGAGCGAAACTTCGTCTCAAAAAAAAAAAAATCTGGCATAACATAATTTATCTAAAATCTTTAAGTATTTTTACGAATGCTATTTGTGTGAAATACAACAAATAAGGTCTGAAATAGAGGTAGTCAATCCTTTAGAGAATAGTTTTCAGAAAATAAAGATTTACTACTTTTAAGAACATCTAGGATCGGCTGGCACGGTGGCTGACGCCTGTAATCCCAGCACTTTGGGAGACCGAGGCAGGTGGGTCACCTGAGGTCAGCAGTTCGAGACCAGCCTGGTCAACATGGTGAAACACCGTCTCTACTAACAATATAAAAATTAGCCGGGTGTGGTGGGAGGTGCCTGTAATCCCCAGCTACTCAGGAGGCTGAGGCAGGAGAATCCCTTGAACCTGGGAGGTGGAGGTTGCAGTGAGCCAAGATCACACCATTGCACTCCAGCTGGGCGACAAGAGCGAAACTCCATCAAAAAAAAAAAGAACATCCAGGATTTAGGAATCACATTAAACACTTACTGGCTAGCCAAAAACAATTATGTATCCATCTTGCTTTTCACACTTAAGTCATTTAGAAGTCATTCAATATCACCATATCTAGATCAATGTTGTTTTTGAAATTGTTGCATATTTCAGGTATAATTATGGTTTATATAATCAATTGCTTCCTGTTGGATATTTAAGATTTTCTTTTTTTGCTATTAACAAATAATGCTTATATCTATATTTTTGAACATTTGTACAAGTATAAATGCATGGTAAATTCCTAGAGGTAAAATTACTGAGTCAAGAGTTTTACATGTTTTGTGAATTTTGATAGATATTGTAAAGTTGTTCTTCAAAGAAGTTTCATTTATTGTTTTCCCACATTTAGCCAACATTAGGTATTATGAAACTTTTTTATATTGGCCAAAACTCACAGGCAAAAGAAAAAGAAAAAAGTCTCATTGTTTTAGCTTGGTATTTATTTGCTTATGGTTGAGGTTAAATGTAGTAAAAATGAAAAACCCAGTACTATAGAAGATAGAGTTGAAGAAATATTCCAGAAAGTACAATAAAAGGAGTAAAATAAAGAGGTTCAAATAGGAGAGTAAAGATAAGAATATTCACTGGTGGAATTATCCAGAAGGTCCAATATGAGAATGATACGAGAAAAAAAGAAAAAAAGTAGGATAGAAAATCATCAAAGACATAGTTCAAAGAAATTTTATATTGAAGGACAGAACTTTCTAGATTGAAAGGGCCTGTTGGCTGGGAAGGGTGGCTCATAGCTCTAATCCTTGCACTTTGGGAGGCTGAGACTGGGGGATCACTTGAGGCCAGGAGTTCCAGGCCAGCCTGGGTCACACAGCAAGACCTCATCTCTGCAACGAAGATAAAAGAAAGGGACTGCCAAGTGCCTAACGTATTGAAGGAAGGCAGACCCCATAATTGTGAAATTTCAGAATACACAATAAACCATTAACCCTAAACATTTCCAGAGAGGAAAAACTAGGTCACACACAAAGGATCTGGAATTAAAATTGTTTGGCTTCTCATTAGCAACACCGGATGCAGAGAGGGAGCAGTCACCTTCAAAGTTTGTGGTGAAAATTGTTACCAACTTAGATACCCAGCCAAACTGTCAGTTAAGTGTAGGTAGAATAAAGACATTTTCAGACTTGTAAGGTCTCAAAAAGAGATTTTTCTGGGGAAGGTCTGGAAGAGGTAGGTGATTCAAAGGAACTGAGAAGGAGAATGACATGGGATCTAGTAATATGTATCTAATTCAAAACAGGCTGAAGAACGGCCTAGGATGATGGTAAGGAGAAATTCCAGAATGATACCTGTGTGTCACATATGGGGAACCGTCCAGTTTGGAGACAGTCAGGATGCTCCAGGAGAGAGATCACCAAGGGGATGAAAACTGCAGAACTCCTGATGTATTTGAACATATCGAGAGGACAGTTAGACTATTCCGGAGAAGATTGGGCCTGAATTAGTGTCAATTATATAGGAAACTAACCTTGGGAATAGCAACACAGTATTTCCAGGAAAAAAAAAATGTTTTAAATAGGGGAAAACTTATGGCTTAGCTGAGAATATTTTTATAGGCATAGTAAACTAAACATTGATTATTGTTCTATCCAAAAGGAAGACTTCACTATGTAGAAAGAATTGAGAATGACACTAGTTAAATATTTATGCATTACTGGGTTCAAGATGATTGAAAGATAATTAAATTCTCTTCTTTCATAGTTGGAGATTTATAGCCAATAACTGTGAAGAATCACAAAGTAGCACTTATTAGAATAAGTGACTATCAAACAAACGTTAGAAAGTGCTTCTGGCTGGGCATGGTGGCTCATGCCTGTAATCCTAACACTTTGGGAAGCCAAGATAGGAGGATTGCTTGAGCCCAGGCATTCGAGACCAGCCTGGGCAATATAGTGAGACCCTGCCTCAATAAAAAATTAGCCAGGCATGGAGATACATGCCTGTAGTCCCAGCTACTCAGGAGGCTGAGGCAGGAGGATCACTTGAGCCCAGGAGGTTGAGGCTGCAGTGAGCTGTGATAGCACCTCAGCACTCCAGCCTTTGAGACAAAGCAAGACCCTGACTCGAAAACAAAGAAAAATAAAGCATGCTCACAGTTAACCTTAATGAAAATAAAAACTAAATTTTGGGCTGTCAGATGACCTTGTATATACTGTGGAATTTTTTTTTAAATTATTGCTATTCTTTTTTTTTTTTTTTTTTTGTGAGTCAGAGTTTTGCTCCCGTTGCTCAGTGTGGAGTGCAATGACACCATCTCGGCTCACTGCAACCTCCGTGTCCTGGGTTCAAGCGATTCTCCTGCGTCAGCCTCCTGAGTAGCTGGGATTATAGGCGCCTGCCATCACGCCCAGCTAATTTTTGTATTTTTAGTAGAGACGGGGTTTCGCCATGTTGGCCAGGCTGGTCACGAACTCCTGACCTGAGGTGATCCACCTGCCTCGGCCTCCCAAAGTGCTGGGATTATAGGCGTGAGCCACTGTGCCTGGCCTATTGGTATTCTTAACTCTTTTTCCTGAAAGTCATGTGTAAAGACAAGTACATATTAATTAAAGGATTCTAGTTAGTGAGATTTTGTTGAACTATTTTAATGAGTAAATTCTAAGAAAAAACATTGTTAAACTTTTTTTTCAGATTTTGTTATGGATGTCAGGGGGAATTGAAAGACCAACATGTAAGTTCTTTGGCTTTCTAAATATTAAGTAATGTACAAGAAATATTGAAATCAATGGTACTATAAGTTTTCAACAGGTTGTTAAAGACCAGGCTCATATCAGTTTATTTCTTGTAAAGATAATGACAATAGGTGAAGGTAAAATAGGAACAAAATAGTTTAAATAGTAGTTTTGTTATTCTGCATTCTAATTTTTGCTATAAAGTATTTTGTAATTCATCTTTTTAAAACTTTTTATTAAAAATTTTTTAATTTTTTTCCTCTTTTTTTAAATTCTTTGATTGTTTTGTCTACTTTGGTACACCCTTGTAAAACATGTAATTTGTCTTTAGCTTTCAAGCTAAACTGCATTTAGTCTGAAAGTATTTAAAATATTTTCTTCATATTATACTTTAAGCTGTGTGATAACACATTGAAATTGTTTAAGGTGGCCACAGATAATAGGTGATTCTTCCATTATGCCAATGAGAAAATACTTTTTTAAATTTTGAAGAGGGCCAACTTTAATAAATAAATTTGTATAGATGTAAATAATATGGATCACTGTCTAGCTTTAATTTTTAATTTAGTTACATGTTCATATTTAAAACTATATATATTATATAAAATAATAATTAGAAGTATTGCTCTTCCACTGTCACAATTTATAAAGTAATTTTATTAAATTTTATATACCTCTTTGACATCAGTAGTTTACTCTTAACTGGAACCACTTTTTGAATCATTTGACAGTTTTTTGGTTTTATTTTCTGAGACAGACTCTTGCTCTGTCACCCAGGTTGTAGTGCAGTGATGCAATCTTGGCTCACTGCAACCTCTGCCTCCCAAGTTCAAGTGATTCTCATGCCTAGCCTCCCAAGCAGCTGGGATTATAGGCGTGCACCACCATGCCCAGCCAATTTTTGTATTTTTAGTAGAGACTGGGTTTCACCATGTTGACCAGCTGGTCTTGAACTCCTGGGCTCAAGCAATCCACCCGCCTTGGCCTCCCAAAGTGCTGGGATTACAGGCGTGAGTCACTACACCCGGCCTCATTTGAGTTTTTAAGAATAGGTCATTGTCTGTGTTGTTTGAAATTTATTTATTCATTCTTTCTTTTTTTTTTTATTCAAAGCCAAATACTTCTGAGATTTAGTGATTTTTGAATCTGTGTATGAAGCTGCCCTGGAAATTTTATCCCAAGGAGCAAGTACTCATATATGTAATGCTGAAAGAACAAATGTAGTTTTTTCCTTTCTGCTTGTCTTATCTGTGTCATTTGACATATTTTTTTAAAGGTTTACTTGAAAGGGAAATATGTTTGCAATTGTGAGGTCATTCCCTAAGAATAATTAAATCGATGTTAAATTTTTATGCTTCTCTTTTTAATTGAATCAATCAGGTGGTCTTGCTAAGCATTCAAAAGTAGCGCTGGTTTGAAGCTCATATGTCTTTCCTAAACCTTAGAATGAAATAATTGAGAGCGAACTGTAATAGAATAGACTTTAAAGACTCAAAAACAAAACCATTCCCTCATTTCTAAGGGATAGTTTTGGGGAAAAAATTAATTGCCTTAGATTTGAGAATATAGAGTACATTGGAAGTAATAAAGTAGGTAGTGGGAAAAAATTGGTAGAGATATAAAAGAGCAAAGCACACCTTGAATGTCATCTAGCTGTGCTGTAATTAACTTTTGGAAACTAGTTTATCACTTTTCTTCTTTTCACTACAGGTTTATGTTTGTGCTGTGTGCCAAAATGTTTTCTGTGTGGACTGTGATGTTTTTGTTCATGATTCTCTACACTGTTGCCCTGGCTGTATTCATAAGATTCCAGCTCCTTCAGGTGTTTGATTCCAGCATGTAGTATACATTGTATGTGTTAAAAAGAAATTTGCAACTGTGAATAAAAGGACTTCTTTAGAAGAAGCTTCATTTAAAACATGAAAGGATAATCTGACTTAAGAAACTTTTTGCTAAGAAAAGGTAATATTTTATTAAATTTTAAATTTGTGTTGTCACAGAAATACCTGAAATTCAGTAGTACTTCATTCAATTAATTTTGTTTTCTATTATTTTGAGTTATACTGTTTTCAAAGTCATTATGCAGTATGTATAAACTTATAAGAATTAAATTGATGTGATAATTTTATGTTTTTATAATTAAATATAGAATCTTTATGATTTATGTTAATTCATTAATTTAGTGTAAGAAGAAAGTTAAGTCTGAATGTAAATTCAGTGTAAGATGAAAATTTATCAATACTTATGAAATTAGGCTGGGCGCTGTGGCTCACACCTGTAATCCCAACACTTTGGGAGGCTGAGGTGGGCAGATCACTTGAGGTCAGGAGTTCGAGACCAGCCTGGCCAACATGGTGAAACCCCGTCACTACTAAAAATACAAAAAATAATTAGCCGGGCATGGTGGTTCACGCCTGGAGTCCCAGCTACTTGGGAGGCTGAGGCAGGAGAATCGCTTGAACCCAGGAGGCGGAGGTTGCAGGGAGCCGAGATTGTGCCACTGCACTCCACCCTAGAGTGAGACTCCCTCTCAAAAAAAAAAAAAGTTATGAAATTAATACATATGAAATGATGTACTGCTACATCCACCAGAGAGGTCTTTTTAGGTTTAACCAAACATCTGGAATATGTTTATCAAGTTAGTACATCTGAAATTATTTGTGGCTATGACCAACAGAAGTCACTTTACATTAAACATTCAAACTCACAAGACTGCCATGGCCATACTTGGTACCCGCTTACTCAGAAGGATATTAAACAGAAACAACAGCCTGCCAGCACAGCATCAAGCAGTCCTCATTAGCAGTGGAAGTCCTTGTAGCAGTCCACTAGTACAATTTGGGTGCAAGGAGATAAGATCCTCCACAGGCATCAAGGAACCAATATCTCTTAACAATTCCATAAACACAGCTTCCAGGTATCCACAAGGGATGTGTCAATTTCAAGAGTCACTACACTCAGGAAAGCCTAAAGCTTGAAGACTCCATTTATTTATAGTGCATCCCAATCCAGATACGTAACAATTAACGAGTTATTTTTACTATAAGCAAAGTTGCCTAAAATCATAGTTGATACTAACCATGGTTAACAGAGCTCTAAAGTTTGACAGAAAGTGAGATTCAAATCCTTTCACTCTCATATGCTAAACCTTTTGCCTTACTCTGGGTCATCAGAGAAATTTAGGTGAGAATGTATGATGAAGTCTGTGTTTTAGATTCAATGCAGATATATCATTGTGGGCAGAACTCTTTCTGGTTATATCCAGTTAAGAGTAAATCAGGCTTTCAGCCGGGCGCGGTGGCTCACGCCTGTAATCCTAGCACTTTGGGAGGCCGAGGCGGGCAGATCACGAGGTCAGGAGATCGAGACCATCCTGGCTAACACGGTGAAACCCCGTCTCTACTAAACATACAAAAAATTAGCTGGGCCTGGTGGCGGGCGCCTGTAGTCCCAGCTATTCGGAAGGCTGGGGCAGGAGAATGGTGTGAACCCAGGAGGCGGAGCTTGCAGTGAACCGAGATCGCTCCACTGCACTCCAGCCTGGGCGACAGAGCTAGACTCTGTCTCAAGAAAAAAAAAAAAAAAAAGAGTAAATCAGGCTTTCATAGCAAAGGTATGTCTATTTTATGTATATAAACTTCAGGTACTCTAACTTGAGTTTCACTATGAAATTTGTGATTTTTTTTTTTTTTTTTTGAGATGGAGTCTTGCTCCATCGCCCAGGCTGGAGTGCAGTGGCCTGCTGTTGGCTCACTGCAACCTCCGCCTCCCAGGCTCAAGCCATTCTCCTGTCTCAGCCTCCTGAGTAGCTGGGACTACAGGCGCCTGCCACCACGCCTGGCTAATTTTTGCATTTTTGGTAGAGACGGGGTTTCACCTTGTTGATCAGTCTGATCTCCAACTCCTGACCTCAGGTCATCCACCCACCTCCGCCACCGTGCCCGGCCGAAATTTGTGATTTTATAACTAAGAATTTTTAGTTAAGAACATTATCAGTAAAGACAACGTAATCCCACCCTGGAGAGTTTATTGGGAGCCCAGGAATATTCATTTTTAATACACACACACACACACACACACACACACACACACACACACTGATCAGAGTAACGGGAGTTTCTCTCAGGAGTCATACTCCATGAGCCTGGACCCAGTGGTTCTTTATGTGGAAACAAATTTCACCTATAGGTAACCTGGTAACTGCTATTTTCTTCTGTGTGCTCTGTCAACAAAGGTATCAGTGGCTTGCAGGAGATGCCTTTAATACTCAGAGCATTCTATCTCCCCCTATCTGGTTTAGAAGGAAGGCCTTCATTAGTTACCTTTTGAGAAGTTACTAGAACTCTCTATTAGAGACTTACCCTCCTGACCTGATAAAAAGGGATACCCATGTCTCTATTAACAGCTTTATCTCTTTCTACAGTTTTGGGTATTTGATAAGGTTAAGGCAAAATTTTAGTTATGCTTAAGGAGGAGTTCTTTTTTCACAATTACAGAGAAAATTTTGGTTTGTTGAAGATTGCAGAAACAGCAATGGTAATGTAAGACAGTTTTGGCCTTTAATTTTTTTCTTGAAACTCTACAGTATACTACAATAGTGAAGGAAACTATTATCATGAGAGATCCTTCTGAATAGGATGTCTTTCTGAGTTCCACTATTCAGTTACAAAACTCCTTAATGCTTAAAATTCATTATGAAAATTAGATTTATTTTAAATACTTTCAAGTGTATACATTTTTATTTCATAATTTTTATTGTCTTTTAACTAAAGCATTTAGTTCATTTATATTTACTGTGTACCTTTTATATTTAATAAATATATTTACTTATTAAAAGATTACCACTGATATATTTTATTTATTATAAATATTATATTTATAAATATATTATTTATATTTATATTTATATATTTATATATATTTATATATAATATATATTTTAATATATTATATATTAAAATATATAAATATATCTAATAAATATAAATATTTATTAAAAGATTACCACTGATATATTTGGGTTTAAGTCTATTATCTTTGTGTTATTGGTTCCAACAATTCCATCTTTCGTTTTTTTAAATTTTTTTAACTACATATTTGATACGATCTTTTCCTTCTTGCCTTCTTTTTGATTACTTACTTTCTACCATTCTATGTTTTTCGTCACTAGTTTGAAAATTGTATACTTTGTTTTTATTCTTTCAGTGGTTACCCTAGAAATTACAACAAACAAAAATTGCAACAACAATAAATTACAACAAGAAGAATTTTTTTTTTTTTTTTTGAGACAGAGTCTCGCTCTGTCGCCCAGGCTGGAGTGCAGTGGCGCGATCTCAGCTCACTGCAAGCTCCACCTCCCGGGTTCATGCCATTCTCCTGCCTCAGCCTCCCGAGTAGCTGGGACTGCAGGTGCCTGCCACCACGCCTGGCTAATTTTTTGTATTTTTACTGGAGACGGGGTTTCACTGTGTTAGCCAGGATGGTCTCGATCTCCTGACCTCATGATCCATCTGCCTTGGCCTCCCAAAGTGCTGGGATTACAGGCGTGAGCCACCACGCCTGGTCAACAACAAGAATTTCTTAACTTAGGTCCCCTAGGAAGTAGAACCTGAGGCAAAGATGAAAGTATTGTTACTTTATTAGGGAGGGACAGATCTAGGGGGGTGAGAGTGTGGAAGAAAAGGGAAAGCAAAGCAAGGAAAAACGTGATGCATTGTGTTACTGCAGTGACCAGGCTTCATGACAAGCTGTGACGAGATACAGGAGCCTTCCAGCAAGTGTGTTCACTTAGAGTGTGGGGCTTCTCCAGAAGGTTTATAAGGAGAAACTGCCCCTCTGAGCAGTCCATTGAAGGGAGGAAGGAGAAGTAACTTAGTTTCCTAAGTTCTTCCATTTCCCGTTGATCCTAGTTTGCCCACAGGGCTGTGTCATCTCGTCCTTTGGTAACTGCTCAGGAAGCCAGATCTCGTGCTCAGTGGTGTGGCATTGCATCTACTTCTAGAAGGATTTCTCAATACTTTATAACTTCCTCATGTTTCTGGTCATGTTTGTGTTCAGCTATATCTCTAGAACGGTTGGCCAATTCATAGCATGAAATGATTTCATGAGTGGTGACAAAGAAAGGGTGCAATCAGCCCTTGGGGAGTGGGTTAGTGGAATCCCAGTCCTGAGGCCATTAGTGGGTGGCAGAGTTTAGGAGAAAAGGTAAGAAGTTTCAGTCCTTGGGCCCTGTAGTAAGGAGAAAAAGGGTACAGGAGGTTGTCACACTTCTGAGAAGTAGTCTTAGAGTGCCCTAGTGCCTGCTTTGGATCCAGTTCTGTAAGGGCAGAGGATTCATTATTTCCAGGTAATTTAAGTATGTTCTGGGGAGAAGTGTTACAAGATGGACTGGGGACTCGGCTGGGATCCTGATGGGATCTAAATTATTGATTTCACCTGACTGAATTGCTATTTGCGTCACACCTCAGGACCCTGGAAACAATACACAATTTGCCCATTCATTAATTTATTAATTCACTCAACAAACTTGTACATCTGCCATAAGTCTGACACCATCCTAGTTATCAGGGATGTAGATAGTCAAAAGAAGATGTAAACCTAACCTCATGCATCTGTGAATCTCCCCATCTAAAAAGACACAGCCTTGTAAAGAAGCTTGTGTGAAAGTGCTAACGACAGACATGCCAAGTGTTAAGGGGATGCAGGAGAGGCGTGGTAAAATGGGTTGGGAGGCAGCTCAGATGTCTAAAGGGGTCAGGCAGACAATGCAGATAAGTGAAAGAGGGCCAGTTGATGCAGAGTGGGGACATCTGGAAAGCACCCGCCCCATCTAAAGGAGGCAGCCTCTGAGAGTCTGGGGATCAGGGATAGAAGGGAGATGTACTTTTCACTGTACATCCTTTTGTATTTTTTAAATTTTGTTACTTAATTCAAAAAAATGTAAAAATAAAGTGAGGTAACCATTATTTGGCCCCAGCCTATTTTTTTCTTCTGGGAATGATACTTAAAGAGAAACTAAATCTGGATTTTTTTTTTTTTTTTTTTTTTTTTTTTTTTTTTTTTTTTTTTTTTGAGACAAAGCCTTGCTCTGTTCCCCAGGCTGGAGTGCATTGGTGCAATCATGGCTCACTGCAGTCTCGACCTTCCAGACTCAAGTGATGGTCCCACTTCAGACTCCCTAGTAGCTGGGACCACAGGTGTGTGCCATTGTGCCTGGCTAATTTTTAAAAAGTTTTTTTTTGTAGAGACAGTGTCTTCCTATGTTGCCTAGGCTGGTCTTGAACTCCTGAGCTTAAGTAATCTGCACACCTCAGTCTTCCAAAGTATTGGAATCACAAGCGTGAGCCACCATGCCCAGCCGTAAAAACTGGATTTTTAAAGTGAATTCTCCCAAGTTTGAGATGTTAGCCTCTAATTTAGAAAAACACAGAGGCTAAATAAAACTTATCTTCAGTCCACCAGTTGACAAACTTTGGCCTGGCCTGTCTCTTTTCTATCGTTTATCATCAGGGCAGATAATCTTTTAAGTTTCAGGTGTTACACTTTCCTGGGATATACTCCTCCTAGGGGGTAATTTATTTACTTTTTGTTTTTGTTTTTGTGACAGAGTCTTGCTCTGTCAACCAGGCTAGAGTGCAGTGGCATGATCTTGGATCACTGCAACATCTGCCTCCCGGGTTCAAGTGATTCTCCTGCCTCAGCCTCCCGAGTAGCTGGGACTACAGTCATGTGCCACCATGCCTGGCTGATTTTTGTATTTTTAGTAGTGACGTGGTTTCACACCATGTTGACCAGGCTGGTCTCGGAACTCCTGACCTCAAGTGATCCACCCACCTTGGCCTTCCAAAGTGCTGGGATTACAGGTGTGAGCCACCGTGGCCAGCCTTAGGGGATAATTTAGGTTTTTTGTGTTTCTGTTTTAAATTTAAATTTTTATTTTTTTGAGGCAGTATCACTCTGTCTCTCAGGCTGGAGTGCAATGGCACAATCAACTCACTGCAGCCTTGAATTCCTGGGCACAAGTGATCCTCCCAATTCAGCTTCTCAAGTAGCTAGGACTACAGGTGTGCACCACCATGCCTGGCTGAATTTTTTTTTTAAGAGATGGACTCTTGCTGTGCTGTCCAGGCTCGTGTCAACTCCTGGCCTCAAATGATCCTCTCTCCTAGGCCTTCCAAAGTGCTGGGATTACAGACGTTAGCCACTGTACCCAGCCTAGTTCAAGTTTTAAGCATTAAGAATTGACTCTTTGGAGGAATAGGGATCTTTTAAGGATCTCTACAGTCAGTGACTCTAAATGTAGTGTTTGGACCAGTAAGTAGCATTAGCATCACCCAAGAAGTCATTAGAAATGCAAATTCTTGGCCAGGCGCGGTGCCTCATGCCTGTAATCCCAGCACTTTGGGAGGCTGAGGTGGGTAGATCACGAGGTCACGAGTTCGAGACCAGCTTGACCAACATGGTGAAACCCTGTCTCTACTAAAAATACAAAAATTAGCCGGCCGTGGTGAAGGGCATCTGTAATCCCAGCTACTCAGGAGGATGAGGCAGGAGAATCACTTGAATCCAGGAGGCGGAGGTTGCTGTGAGCCAAGATCGCACCACTGCACTGCAGCCTGGGCAACAGAATGAGACTCCATCTCAAAAAAAAAAAAAAAAGCAAATTCTTGAGCCCCATCACAGGCCTGTTGAATCAGAAACTCTGAGGATGGGTCTAGCAGTCCGCTTTAACAAATCCTCCAGGTGGTTACCATAAATGTTGAAGTGTGAGAGCTACTGCCTGTAATCCCATTTAGAGAGGTACATAGGTAACTTAAAAACAGGTCCTGATAAAAGAATTCTACTAAACTTAAAAAACAAATTCAGGTAACTTTATAAACAAACAAATCTCGGCCGGGCGCGGTGGCTCACGCCTGTAATCCCAGCACTTTGGGAGGCCGAGGCGGGCGGATCACGAGGTCAGGAGATCGAGACCATCCTGGCTAACACGGTGAAACCCCGTCTCTACTAAAAATACAAAAAATTAGCCGGGCGTGGTGGCGGGCGCCTGTAGTCCCAGCTACTCGGGAGGCTGAGGCAGGAGAATGGCGTGAACCCGGGAGGCAGAAATTGCAGTGAGCCGAGATCGCGCCACTGCACTCCAGCCTGGGTGACAGAGCAAGACTCCGTCTGAAAACAAACAAACAAAAAAAACAAATCTCAAACATGGAATTATTTTTTCACTTCTCTCTTTTGTTTTGTTTTTTTTTTTTTTTTTGAGACAGAGTCTCGCTCTGTCACCCAGGCTGGAGTGCAGTGGCGCGATCTCGGCTCACACTGCAATTTCTGCCTCCCGGGTTCACACCATTCTCCTGCCTCAGCCTCCCGAGTAGCTGGGACTACAGGTGCCCGCCACCACGCCCGGCTAATTGTTTTTTTGTATTTTTAGTAGAGACGGGGTTTCACCGTGTTAGCCAGGATGGTCTCGATCTCCTGACCTCGTGATCCGCCCGCCTCGGCCTCCCAAAGTGCTGGGATTACAGGCGTGAGCCACTGCGCCCGACCTTTTTCACTTCTCTTAATGCTCTGTAAACATTAATGTATTTATATATGTATTTAGAATTTTAAAAAATCAATTTTATTGAGTTATAATTAACATACAGTAAAAATGCTCCCATCTTGAGTAATTCCATGCCTTTTGACAAGTGTTCTGTACCCATGCCACGACCACCACAATCGAGAGAGAACATCTTCATCACTCCAGAAGGGCTCCTTTGCAGTGAGTACTCCCTAGGAGTTCCAGCGGCCGGTGACATTGATCTGTTTTCTGTCACTGTAGATGAGATTTGTCTGTTATATACAATTTTTAAAAATTAAATGATATGTATGGCTTCTTTTGCTTAGCATAATGTTTTTGAGCTTATTCATTTGTTGCATATATCAATACTTTGCTTCTTTTTACCACCTGTACTTCATTTATGGATACGTTGTTTATCCATGTGTTTATCCCCAATGGACATTGGGTTGTTTCTGATTTTTTGGTTATTATTATGAATAAAGTTGCTATGAACATTATTGTATAAATCTTTGTGTGTTCATGTGTTTTCATTTTTCTTGGGTAAATATGTAGGAATGGAATTGCTAGATTGTATGGCAAGAGTATACTTAGCTTTCCATGACACCAGTGAACTGTTTTTCCAAAGACATTGTATTAATACCATTTTACATTCCCACAACTAATGTATGAGCTTCCAGTTGCTCCATATCCTCAACTAACAGTTGATATTGTACAATACAAATGTTAACTTTTAGAATATCTTCACAACTTTAGAGTAGATAGTGATTTCTTAGGACACAAAAACTATCAATCATAACAAAAATTAAAATTGGACTTCATCAAAATTAAAAACTTCTTTTTGAAAGACACCATTAAGAAAATGAAAAGATGGTTAACAGACTGAGAGAATATATGTGCAATGTAAATATCTAACAAAGGACTAGTATGCAAAATATATAAAGAATCCTTATAATTTAGTAATAAAAAGGAAAACACGCACTTTTTAAATGGGTCAAGAATTTAATTACGGCCAGGTGCAGTGGCTCACACCTGTAATCTCAGCACTTTGGGAGGCCGAGGTGGGTGGATCACGAGGTCAGGGGTTCGAGACCAGCCTGGCTAACATGGTGAAACCCTGTCTCTACTAAAAATACAAAAATTAGCTGGGCGTGGTGGTGGGCGCCTGTAATCCCAGCTACTCGGGAGGCTGAGGCAGGGGAATCGCTTGAACCCAGGAGGCGGAGGTTGCAGTGAGCTGAGATTGTGCCACTGCACTCCAGCCTGGGCGACAGAGCGAGACTCTGTCTTTTAAAAAAAAAGAAAAAAATTTAATTACCTTACCAAAGAAGATACATGAATGACCAATAAGCCATTAAATTAAAACTTCAGTGAGTATACACATATGCCCTGAAGTAGCTAAACTTTAAAACACTGCCCTATGTGTGTGTACTTTTTAGCTAAAAAAGTGTTTGAAAACAGTATTATTTTGAAACTCAAAATTCCAAATCCTCTCTTCAAATTAGGTAGTAGTGTCACTGGAAGTAAAAGAGAAGTTACTTTAACTGCTAAAGAGTATCCACTAAGAATCTACAACAAACATCATGTTTAATGCTCAAACTTTAGAAGAATTTATACCAAAAGTCAAGAATAAGATAGGATATCTATCTTCATTATTAAGCAACATTATATTAGAGGACCTAATCAATGCAACAAGGCAATAAATAAAAGACAAAACTGTCATAATCAGATACTACAAACATCTAAGAAAATTCAGGGGGATTTACAGTCATATATTAAACAGTCCAGAAGGAGTCCTATACATCATCAATGAATATTGAGAATAAAAAATAGTTTTTAAAACCCCTCCAATTTATAAGGGCAACAAAATGTACAAGGTACTAAAATAAATGTAATGTGTATTTGGGTATAAATACAGCAACATAATGAAAAGGTTTATTGGGGAAAAAATTACAGGGAGAAGGGTCAACAACGTGAAGAGGTTCCCCTGCCATCTGGACTTCTGGAAAAAGACCTGCTGGTCTAGGCACAGCTGGATGCACCATGGAAAGTGGTTCCAATAAACACTGGCACTGTAACAATTGTGTATGTTGATACAAAAAGAGGGAGCCAATGAATACTTGGTCGATTATTTAACAATTGCTTCTCTGCTGAAGAAATGGCCTTGTTGGACTAGAGCTTAACTGTGGTTCACATACTAATGCTGCTATAACAGCTAGAAGCCTTACTAAGAAATTTGCTAAACCACCAAAAAGAGGAAATGAACCTTCTAGGACATCTGGATTGCCTTTTCTTAAAAATCTAGTCTTGGCTGGGTGCTGTGGTTCACGCCTGTAATCCCAGCATTTGGTGAGGCTGAAGTGGGCGGATCACGAGGTCAAGAGATCGAGACCATCCTGGTCAACATGGTGAAACCCTGTCTCTACTGAAAATACAAAAATTAGCTGGGCGAGGTGGCATGTGCCTGTAGTCCCAGCTGCTGGGGAGGCTGAGGAAGGAGAATCACTTGAACCCGGGAGGCGGGGTTTGCAGTGAGCTGAGATCACGCCATTGCACTCCAGCCTGGCAACAGAGCAAGACTCAGTCTAAAAAAAAAAAAAAAAATCTAGTCTGTATGGCAGCACAACATCAGGTAAAAGTACAGACTAGCCAGATCACTGGTTAACCTTAACCCCTATGTGCTTGAGTTTCCTTATCTGTAATATGGAGATGATATAGCAATAGCTGATTTTGGACTGTTAAAGGAATTAAGTGGACACATGTAAAGTGCTTAGAATTGTGCCTGGCAAGTAGTAGGCTGCAATATTGTGATATAATAAATATATATATTTGATCTTCATCCAGTTCCTGGCACAGATCTCCAGAAACCCTTGTAATTTCCTGAGTGACAGGGGTGATAGAAACATCTTTTATTAGAATACTTGGTCTTGGTTCCTGACACAAGAGCTTCTAAGACCTTTGGAATCTCCAAGTGATAAGAGTGTATGACAGTGAGCTAACTGGTGGCTGGGATCCTTTAGACAACTTCAGGATGGGGGCTATCCCCTGAAAGACTAAGGCATGATTAGAGGTCTGGGATTTGCAGCCCCACGCCTCGACCTCCAGAGAGGGTAAAAGGGCTGGCGATTGATTAACCACCAATTGCCAGTGATTTAGCCAATCATGCCTAAGTGATGGCACCTCCATTAAAAAATAAACCACAGGTTTGGAGAGCTTTCGGTTTGGTTAACCCCAACCACATACCAAGAAGGCGATGCACCTCAAACTGCATGAAGACAAAAGGTCCTGTGCTCACCTGGGACCCTTCTGGACGTTGCCCTGTGTACCTCTTCGACTGCCTGTTCATCTGTATCCTTTATAATAAAGCAGTAAACATAAGTAAAGTTTCTGAGTTCTGTGAGCCATTATAAGAAACGATCGAACCTGGGATTTTCCTTTCGGAAGCCGCTCTCTCTCACAAGGGAGAGAGCTGTTCTCCTTTTTCTTTTGCGTGTTAAACCTCCGCTCCTAAACCCACTCTTCGTGTGTATCGTGTCCTTAACCTTGTTGGTGCGAGACGACGAACCCCGGGTATTGACCCCAGACAACAATGCCACTTCATATTGGGGACTTCGTCTGGGATTCCAAGGTGCATTCATTGCAAAGGTGAGTAAAGGGGCGGACCTCAACTCTGTCCTTTGATTTCGAGGCTCTTGGCCTCCATTTTAGAATCAAACCAAACCAAATACTGGGCCCCCTTCTGCTTCTGTGAATGAGAAAACTCTGCCTTCACCAATTAGCCATTTAAAAATTATGAGCGTGGCTGCCAGCCTTACAAGTTTTGGGGGACAGGCTTGCTGGGGAGAACATGGAGAACCCCCCAATACCCACGGGCTGCTGGGCATATTGGCCATGTTTGAACCAGTTTCCTTTCACGGAGGACCAAGCTGTCGTGTGGGGCTGGAAGAGGTCCTGGAGCAACTGAGGATTTCTGGCTGGGGCTACCTCCTGGTGCCATCCGAAGGCTTCTGGACTGACCCCAGCCTCCGACCACCCTAAGGGGTGTCGGCAACAGGACCTCCAACTTTCCTATCATAATTCCCTCATTTCCTATCCACGACCACCATGTCTCCTAACCTCTCTCTGTATGCAGTACTGAGGGAGTTTTACAGTTCAGGGAAGTAATCTTGTTAGGCAAGAACAAAGACTGCTGTAGTAACCAGGGATATAGCACAGGGGCATGCTGTTGTGATTTTCTAGGAACAGAGGGTCTCCTCTCCCACCACAGTGAGCGTCACTCTCTGCCCTTGTTCTGGAAAGCACATGGCATGTCAAGGTCACTCTGCCCTTTGTCACAGTAAGATTAGGGTGGGGCGCCCAACCTTCCCCGCGTGCTATGTAAACGTCACACCTGTTCAAACCAACCTGTGGGCTCTGCGCAAATCAGACGCCGCCTCCTCAGGCCTACCTATAAAATCTGGTGCAGTCCACCGCAGGCCGGATTTTCCTTTCGGAAGCCCCTCACAAGGGAGAGATCTGTTCTCGTTTTTCTTTCTTTTGCCTATTAAACCTCTGCTCCTAAACTCCCCCAACCCCCAAGAAAGAAATTATCGAACCTGAGGGGGTTGCAGATACCCATGATTTGTAGTGAACTCAGACAGAAGTGTGGGTACCCTGAGGTCCTAATAGTTGTGGCTGGCATCTGAAGTAGGGGGCAGTCTTGGGGGCTGAGCCCCTAACCCGTGGGGTCTGCACTAACTCTGGTTAATTAGCATCAGAATTGAGTAAAATTGTAAGACACTCAGCTGCTGTCTGTGGAGAATTGGAGAATTGGTTGGTGGAAAACCCATATATTTGATGTCAGAAATGTGAGTAGAGAAATGGTTTTTCCTTGATAGGCTCTATGTAAATTTTAGTTCATGTTTTTGGTAATAAATACACAATATTACTGATTCTTAAAAGTATAAACCCAGGAAAATTAAGAAAACAAGAATGTCAAGTCCAACAGAGTTTAAAGGTAAAAAAAAATAAAATAGAACAGAAATGGGACCAGTAGCACATAGAATATTTTAACACATTCTTGGAAAGTAGAAACTATATGGACTAGTAGTCAGGAAGGAAGCAGCTCAAGGAAACCGCTTCCTGAATATGGAGTCTCCTATGAGAGACTATCTGCCCTATGGAGAAGCTTGGAGTAACTGCGGACACAGGATGCCAGATAGGAAGGAGGGCTGGAGTGACATGAAGGGCTGAAAATTGAGGGACTAATTGGAAGCCCGTGCACGGGACAGTCAGCTCTCTCTACCCCATGATCAGAATATTTGACACACAAGTGTTTACCCTGGGGCAAAAAATTACAGGAGTCTTCCCTGCTCCCCCCAAAATTGAACACATTGCTTTCTCTTAGCTGACCTAGAGAACCAGTGTGGGCACTGGCACCCCAAAACTAAGAATCCTTTTAAGAAATGGTGATTTTATGTCCAAGGAACGTTCCAAGTAAGTTTTCGGCTGCTAGCTTTGTCTTTACAAGTAACGGGCCAGGCCCAGTGGCTCATGACTGTAATCCCAGCATTTTGGGGGACTGAGGTGGGCAAATGGCTTGAGGTCAAGAGTTCAAGACCAGCTTGGGCAACATGGCGAAACCCTGTCTCTACTAGAAATACAAAAATTAGCCAGGTGTGGTGGTGCATGCCTGTAGTCCCAGCTATTGTGGGGCTGAGATGAGAGGATCACTTGAGCCTGGGAGGTAGAGGCTGCAGTGAACCGAGATTGTGCCACTGCACTCCAGTCTGGGTGACAAAGTGAGACCCCATCTCCAAAAACAAAACAAAACAAAAAAAACCCCAAGTAACTTGAAATCATTTTCTGAAATCTTTCTCTGACATTCTGACATTAGGGTAATTCTTGTTCTCCATAGAGTGAAAGGCTCAGGTTCAAGTCCCACTCCTGTGGCTCCTGATTTTTTAATGATTAGTTTGACCAATGTGTTTTTAAATGACTTAATTTTTAAACATGAGTTGAAAACCCAGGATCACTACACATTTGAGGAAAGTTGATAATATGAAAAGTAAACACCAAGGTAAGTGGTAAAAACCTTTGAGGAAACATAATTCAGGAAACAGGAACTTAAACATTAGTATCGTACAGCAGATTCAGGAAGATGGCACTGGTTAAAAAAATTGACACTATGAAAATAAGGCACAGAGAAAAGAAAGAGCTGTGGGAAATTATAATTGCTGAAATTTTAAACTAGATTGGAGAGCCGGAATATAAAGGAGAGGACAGCTGGGTGCGGTGGCTCACACCTGTCATCCCAGCATTTTGGGAGGCTGAGGCCGGCAGATCACTTGAGCCCGGGAGTTTGAGACCAGCCTGGGCAACAAGGTGAGACCCCCATCTCTACACAAAATAAAATATAAAATCAGCTGTGCATGGTAGCACACGTCTGTAGTCCCAAAACTTGGGAGGCTAGGTGGGAGGATCACTTGAGTCCAGGAGGTGGTGGCTGCAGTGAGCTGTGATTGTGCCATTGCACTCCAGCCTGGATGACAGAGCGAGACCCTTAGAAAGTAGGAAAAGAATATATGAAAAAAAAATAAGTGATCAATTAATTACTCACCTGAATAGTGGGAATACCAAAAGAGTAAAAAGAGAGTAACAGACAGTAGGAAGTTATCAAATAAATAATAGAAGGTAATTTCCCAGGCTTGATGGGAGACCCAAGAGCTCAGATTGAAAATGCCCATTGAATACCCAGCCCAATGAATGTAGAGAGGTCTACACTTAGGAGAAAAGATCCTAAAAGCTACCAGAAAGATAGAAACTGTTACTATAACAGAAATAAGACACTAGCACCTTAACTATTAACCAATCTTAACAAACTAGAATAAAGGCCGGATGTGGTGGTTCATGCCTATAATCCTAGCACTTTGGGAGGTCGAGATGGGAGGATCGCTTCAGCCTGGAAGCTTGAGGCTGCAGTGAGCTAGGATCGTGCCACTGTACTCCAGCCTGGGCGACAGAGTGAGACACTGTCTCAAAAACAACAGAAACAAAAAAACTAGAATAAAATACTTCTGGTGTGAGACTCTGTAGGTTTCATTACTCCTTTTGGGTCCTGATTAAATCCTGTTGACTCAAGACCTTAGAGCATTTACTGGTAAAGTCTCTGACTGCGCGATTTTTTTTTGCATTTTAGTTCCTTAAATATTTTCTCACTGCTTCCTACTAAAGGACGGACAGAGCATTTGTTCTTCAGCCACATACTTTCCTTCCACTGGCCAGCATTCTCCTCTATTAGACTAGAACTGTGGATAAACCTCAGGTAAGTAAATTACTATCCCTGGCAAAGGTGCTTTTCTTCCACACCTAAACCTATGGTCCCTTCTTTGTCTTGCTATTGTTTCTCTCTTTGGAGGCAGGATGGTATGGAGGAAAGAGGACAGACACTGGAGTCACACAGACTTGGGTTTAAATCCTAGCTCCATGGCACAGTTGCCTCAATGGCACTCTTAGCACTGTAGTCAAAGAATATTAGACCTGGAAAGGGCCTTGGAAATTACTTCTCCTCCCCCAGAAACAGCCTCTAGACTGGCATGATTGACCACCAAACTTCGTTGTGTCAGACAGGATCAATGTCTGCTGGTCTGCTGCAACTCTGTACTCATTTATCTCTGGGGAGGCCTGAAGCCTTGGTGCTGTTCCTTGGCCAAACCTAAATGAAATGTACTAGCCAGTGATTAATAGAGTCCTGTGCTGGGGTGGGAGACAGACCAGGGAGCAGCCTGTTTCTTGCTTCTTTCTTTCTTTTTGGAGATGAAATCTCATTGGCTTTGAACTTCTGGGCTCAAGTGATCCTCCCACTTCAGCCTCCCAAGTAGCTGGGATTACAGGTGCATGTCACTGCCCCAGCTTGACTATACCAGCTTGTTTCTGGTTTTGAGCCCTGGTATGCAAGCTAGTGTTGGCTACCTGATCAGAGGAGTATAAAAGAGCCTCAGATGAGGTTACAGTTCTCTTGAGACCAAGGTGTCTTGCATGTATCATCTAGCTGGTTCATTGCTTAAAGATGAAGCACATCTTCCACATCCTCTGTGGCTGCAAAAGGACCCTAGGAACTGGGTGTGGTGTTTCACTTGCCTTTTGGTTTGTTGGGTTTTTTTTTTTTTTGTATCTATCCTTTACCTTTATTAAAGCCTTATGTGAGGATACTATGCGGAGTCTTCTAAGTCTTTTCAATGATCCAAACCTGTGTAATTGATGAAGAGGGTACTGTGAATAGGATCATTACTTTTTTTTTGTTTTTGAGACAGGGTCTCTCTCACTCTGTCACCCAAGTTGAGTGCAGTATCTTGATCACAGCTCACTATAGCCTCAACCTCCTGGGCTCAAGAGATCCTCCCACCTCAGCCTCCCGAGTAGCTGGGTCTATAGGCGCACACCATCACGGCTGCCTAACTTTTAAAAAAATTATTTTGTAGAGCTGGAGTCTTACCATGTTGCCCAGGCTGGTCTCGAACTCCTGGGCTCAAGTGATTTGCCTGCCTTGGCCTCCCAAAGTGGTGGGATTACAGGTGTGAGCAACTGCGCCTGGCCCCAGGTTTTTTTTTTCTTTTTTTTTTTCGAGACAGGGTCTCACACTGTTGCCCAGGCTGTAGTGCAGTGGCACTGAAGCCTGAAACCTCTGCCTCCTGGGTTCAAACAGTTCTTGTGCCTCAGCCACCCGAGTAGCTGGGATTACAGGCATGCACCACCACGCCCGGCTAATTTGTTTGTATTTTTAGTAGAGATGGGGTTTCGCCATGTTGGCCAGGCTGGTCTTGAACTCCTGAACTCAAGTGATCCGCCCGTCCCAGCCTCCCGAAGTTCTGGGATTACAGGTGTGAGCCACTGCGCCTGGCCCCCCAGTTTTTTACTTTATAATTTAAATGATAGCTAAGGCTTTGTTTGGGAGAAAGATGAAAAGTGGGGAAAGATTTAGAGCCACTGGTGCCAGGCTAGTTGCTGGGGAATCCCTGTTTGAATTTGCTGAAGTGCTACAACTCTCAATGGGAAGAAAGGGATGACAATGGAACTTGAAGGTGGTTGATGCAGAGCAAGAGGAAATCGCTAAATAGATTTAAAAAGAAATCCAGACACAGAGGAAGTCAGCCAAGAATACAGTTCCCTGGCTGGTTAGGCTGCTTTGGCAAAAATGAAAGTAACTAAAAAAGAGCCTGTGTTGCCAAGTCCACCAATTTCCTTCTGTAAAGGGAAGGAACATGATGCCAAAGAGGAGTTGGGCAGATATTTCTTCTGATGGGAATGTGACCCTCATCGGGTAGATAATCACCAACGAAACTACAGTGGGAGGGCATCAAGAGACAACTGAAACAGGGAACTACACAAGAGTGAAGTTGCCTGTGGACTGACAGAGCTTCCTGCAGAACCACTGCTGGGTTGGATATACATGAATGACAAAGGAGCTCTTTTCCTTGTATTAGGTACTGTCAAATGTACCTTCAAATGAAAGGGTGTGTTTGGTCTTAATTAGCTGAATTCGTTGAAGATCTTCAATTAGCTGCAGCTTTTGCCGGAATGTGGTTAGCTGGGCAAATTCCAAATCGGTTGAGCTGCACAAAGGTGGCAGTACATAAAACATATCTTGTAAAGGGGAACTGCCCAATTCCACCCATAATTGTTAGAAGAAATACTCCCTAGAGGTTACTGAAATGTTGAGAATGCAAACAAACACATTTGGACTGGTTCTGTGATGAAACTAAGGTATCCCTTAATTTTATGTCTTTGACTTAAGTGATGATTGTTGCTGTGATAAGAGGGCCTCTACCTTCGTAGACTTTTTGTATGACCCTACTACTGGGGGAGCAGGATGAAGTGAAAGCCTGTTGAAGACTTACTAGTTCCTTTGCTCCAAATTGTGCTGAATGATGAACAGATTAATATCATTCAAAAGAAAGGAGGCCGGGTGTCCTGGCTTACACCTGTAATCCCAGCACTTTGAGAGGCTGAGGCAAGAGGATTGCTTAAGCCCAGGAATCTGAGGCTGCAGTGAGCTAGAATCATGCCACTGCACTTGTACTACAGCCTTGGCAACAGAGTGAGCCCTTGTCTCCTATAAAAAAAAAAAAAAAAAAAAGGAAAGGGCTGGGCATGGTGGCTCACACCTGTAATCCTAGCACATTGGGAGGCCGAGGCGGGTGGATCACCTGAGGTCAGGAGTTCGAGACCAGCCTGGCCAACATGGTGAAACCCTGTCTCTACTAAAAATAAAAAAATTAGCCGGGCATGGTGGCACATGCCTGTAATCCCAGCTACTCAGGAGGCTGAGGCAGGAGAATTGCTTGAACCTGGGAAGCAGAGGTTGCGGTGAGTCAAAATTGTGCCACTGCACTCCAGCCTGGGTGAACAGAGCAAGACTCCATCTCACTTTGTTGCCCAGGCTGGTTTCAAATTCCTGGGCTCAAGCAATCCTCCCACCTTAGCCTCCCAAAGTGCTGGGATTACAGGTGTGAGCCACTGTGCCCAGTCAAGATTTCTAATGTATCCTAGTCTTGATGAATTAAACAAATAAACCTTTAGGATGATGCAAAAGCAGAATCTACAGTCACTTTAAAGCAGTGTGATGTAAAGAAAAGGGTGGCAGAGTCTCTTGGTGCTATGGGACCCAAGGACATTTACATTGGTGTGGATAAAATGCCCGGAGTGGTGAAAAACTTTATTGTCATTGTTGGACCATGGTGCATAATGTATTGTTATACCTGCTAATAAAAAATTAAACGGCAATTAACTTAGTTTAGTATGACAATACAACTGTAAGTTTAAGAGTGAAAAATGGGCCAGGTGTGGTGGCTCAGGCCTGTAATCCCAGCACTTTAGGAGGCTGAGGTGGGAGGATCACTTGAGCCCAGGGGTTTGAGACCAACTTGGCAACATAGTGAGACCCCCCCCACCAACACCCCCAACACGCTTGTCTCTATAAAAAATGGTGGTGTGCTCCTGTCGTACGAGCTGCTTGGGAAGCTGAGGTGGGAGGATCGCTTCAGCCCTTGAGGTTGAGGCTGCAATGGATGGTGATCAAGCCACTGCACTCCAGCCTAGGTGACAGAGCAAGACCCTGTCTCAAGAAAAAAAAAAAGTGAAAAATGTCCATATAAAAACTTGCACACTAATGTGCACAGCGGTACTATTTATAATAGCCAAAAAGCGTAAACAATCCACACATCCATCAACTGGGTTGAGGAATAAAATATGGTATATGTGATAATAAAGTGTGGTATATCCACATAATGAAATATTATTTGACAATGAAAAGGAATATGAAGTACTAAAACAATACAACATGGATGAATTTCGCTTCCTTTTTTTGTTGTTCTTTTTATTTTATTTTTTAAGCACCTCTACCAACATGAACATTTTGCAAAGTGAAAGCAACCAGACACAAAGGACCACGTACTGTATGATTCAATTTAAATGAAATGTCCCCAGTAGGCAAATCTATAGAGACAGAAAGTAACATAGTAGTTGCCTAGGGCTAGGAGGGTAACGGGGGACATGGAAAGCAACTGCTAATGGGCACAGCGTTTCTTTCTGGGGGGATGAAAATGTTCTAAAATTGATTGTGGTGGTGGTTGTGCATGTTTATGAATATGCTGATATTTATTGAACTGTACATTTTATTTACTTTTTTTAGAGACAGAGCCTCACTCTGTTGTCCAGGCTGGAGTATAGTACTGCAATCATAGCTCCCCGCAGCTTCATATTCCTGGGCTCAAGAGATCCTTCCACCTCAGCCTCCCACGTAGTTAGGACTACAGGCACATGCCACCATGCCCCGCTAAGTTTTCGTTTTCTTAAAAAAAAAGTTTTTTTAGAGACAGGGTCTAGCTATGTTGCCCAGGCTGATCTCAACTCCTGGTCTCAAGCAATCCTCCCGCCTTGGCCTCAAGAGCATTGGGGTTATAGGTATGAGTCACCGCACCCTCAGTTGTTCATTTTAAATGGGTGAATTTTATGATGTGTGAATTATATTTCTTTCTCTTTTTTTGAGATGGAGTTTCACTCTTGTCGCCTAGGCTGGAGTGCAGTGGTGCGATCTCGGCTCACTGCAACCTCTGCCTCGTGGGTTCAAGCAATTCTCCTGCCTCAGCCTCCCGAGTAGCTGAGATTATAGGCATGCGCCACCATGCCCAGCTATTTTTTTTGTATTATTAGTAGAGATGGGGTTTCACCATGTTGGCAAGGCTAGTCTTGAACTCCTGGCCTCAGCCCCCCAAAGTGCTGGGATTATAGGTGTAAGCCACCACAGCCAGCCCCAACTAGCTGGGACTACAAGCACGTGCCACCACACCTGACTAATTTCTTTTTTTTTTTTTTTTTTGTATTTTTAGTAGAGATGGGGTTTTGCCATGTTGGCCAGGCTGGTCTCAAACTCCTGACCTCAGGTGATCCACCCACCTCGGCCTCCTAAAGTGCTGAGATTACAGGCATGAGCCACTGCTCCCGATGGATTATATTTCAATATAATTCAATTATGCAATATAATTGCATAATTGTTATCATCTCTCCCTGATATATTATCGGAATGGATGTGACATCTGAATGGGGATGCTGTTGAGGAAAGAGATTTCATGAAATGTACAGTGAGTGGCATAATTGTGGCTCACTGTAACCTTGAATTCTTGGGCTCAAGTGATCCTTCTGCCTCTGCTCCCCGAGTAGCTGGGACTACAGGCATGTGCCAACACATCTGGCTAATTTTTAAAATTTTTTGTAGAGACAAGGATCTCACTAAGTTGCCTAAACTGGCCTCAAACTCCTAGCCACAAACAATCCTCCCACCTTGGCCTCCCAAAATGCTGGGATTACAGGTGTGAGCCTCCACACTTGGCCACTTACTTTCTTTTTGATTCCTATTTCAGGAGAAAATCATAATCAATTTGCATTTGTGTGGAAAGGCCACCAATGCACATTTAAGCTGCTCCCACAGGACATTTAAATTATCTTGCTTATTGCTACAACCTAATGAGGAACAACTTAGATTTGATTGCACTGGAAAATACTATATCTTTTTTTTGTTTGTTTGAGATGGAGTCTCACTCTGTCACCCAGGCTGGAGTGCAATGGCGAGATCTTGGCTCACTGCAACCTCTGCCTCCCAGGTTCAACTGATTCTCCCGCCTCAGCCTCCTGAGTAGCTGGGATTACAGGCACCCACCATCATGCCCGGCTAATTTTTTTTATTTTTGTAGAGATGGGGTTTCACCATGTGGGCCAGGCTGGTCTTGAACTCCTGACCTCAGGTGATCTGCCCGCCTCAGCCTCCCAAAGTGCTGGGATTACAGGCATGAGCCACTGCGCCCAGCTAATACTATGTCTTATTATATTGATGATAATAATGTTAATCTCTCAATCCAAATATCCAGCTAAGACTGAATTGGAAGTGCTTGTTAATCATATAACCACCAGGGAGGGATGATTAACTGGCTAAAATGCAAGGCTTAGAATAAATGGTAAAATTCTTAGAAATTACTTGGGCTAGGCTGGGTGTGGTGGCTCACGTCTGTAATCCCGGTGTGGGAGCTGAGATTGCGCCACTGCACTTCAGCCTGGGCGACAAGGACAAGAGTGGGAAGCCAAGGCAGGCGGATCACTTGAGGTCAGGAGTTGGAGACCAAGCTGGCCAACATGGCAAAACCTTGTGTCTACTAAAAATACAGAAATTAGCCGCAATTGGTGGCACGTGCCTGTAATCCCAGCTACTCAGGAGGCTGAGGCAGGAGAATTGCTTGAACCCAGGAGGCGGAGGTTGCAGTCAGCCGAGGCCACGCCACTGCACTCCAGCCTGGGTGACAGAGTGAGACTGTCTAAAAAAAAAAAAAAAGGAGGAATTACTTGGGCTAGAGCCACTAGAAACATTCCCAAACAACCAAAATTAAGTTGCTAGCTACAAGACAGAGGAAAAAGGCACGAAAATTAGTTCAATTTCTTGGTTCCTGGAGAAATCACATACCATGTTTGGGAATTTTATCAACCCTTATTCTCGAAGTTAAGAGGGAATGGGGAGCTAATTTACATGGGGCTTTGAAAAATGAACAAATGGGAGACTTTTTGGGAACTTCGAAGAGATTACTTTGGGGCCATAGCACCTCAGTGTTCAAATGATGTTAGCAATGTCAGCAACCGACTCACGCTGATGGAGCTTCTTACCAAAGCCCGTGACTGCCCCTCAGGGATGGTCATGGGGATTTGACACTAGAAAGTTACCCGAGGCTTCTGGCAGGTATATGTCCTTTGAAAAACAGTCATTGGCCTGTTACTGAGCTTCTTTTTTTTTTTTTTTTTTTAAGACGGAGTCTTGCTCTGTCACCCAGGCTGGAGTACCGTGGCGCGATCTCGGCTCGCTGCAAGCTCCACCTCCTGGGTTCACGCCATTCTCCTGCCTCAGCCTCCCGAGTAGCTGGGACTACAGGCGCCCGCCACCACGCCCGGCTAATTTTTTTTGTAGTTTTAGTAGAGATGGGGTTTCACCTTGTTAGCCAGGATGTTCTCCATCTCCTGACCTCGTGATCCACCTGCCTCGGCCTCCCAAAGTGCTGGGATTACAGGCGTGAGCCACCGCGCCCGGCCAGAGCACCGAGACTTAAAACATGAACACAAAATAATGATTTTTTAAAACTGAGTAATTCGATCAAATTGTTGCTGCCAGGCTATACAATTTTGTCTATGTTTTTCTTTAATATAAATGTTCAGTATATGCTCATGTTACCACATTGTGTCCATAACTGATATCTGGAAAGCTTCATGAATGGAGGCAGATGGGTGTCTGTCTTGTTGGTTGCTAGATCCCCAATGTCTAGCACTGTACCTGATATATAGTAGGTGCTTAGTAAATATTTGTTGATTAAGTAGATGAATACTGATGTTTCATAATTTTCCAACAATTTATCTTTTGTGTTGAAATTCCAGGCATTCCTTTAATTCCTGGTTTCTTCGGAAACAGTGGGAAATGCTCTTCTAAGAAAAATCTTACTATAAGGGATCAACCTGCTTTATTTTCCTTTTCAGAAAATGGCCACCCAGCAGAAAGCCTCTGACGAGAGGATCTCCCAGTTTGATCACAATTTGCTGCCAGAGCTGTCTGCTCTTCTGGGCCTAGATGCAGTTCAGTTGGCAAAGGAACTAGAAGAAGAGGAGCAGAAGGAGCGAGCAAAAATGCAGAAAGGCTACAACTCTCAAATGCGCAGTGAAGCAAAAAGGTTAAAGACTTTTGTGACTTATGAGCCGTACAGCTCATGGATACCACAGGAGATGGCGGCCGCTGGGTTTTACTTCACTGGGGTAAAATCTGGGATTCAGTGCTTCTGCTGTAGCCTAATCCTCTTTGGTGCCGGCCTCACGAGACTCCCCATAGAAGACCACAAGAGGTTTCATCCAGATTGTGGGTTCCTTTTGAACAAGGATGTTGGTAACATTGCCAAGTACGACATAAGGGTGAAGAATCTGAAGAGCAGGCTGAGAGGAGGTAAAATGAGGTACCAAGAAGAGGAGGCTAGACTTGCATCCTTCAGGAACTGGCCATTTTATGTCCAAGGGATATCCCCTTGTGTGCTCTCAGAGGCTGGCTTTGTCTTTACAGGTACCTTGAAATTATTCTCTGAAGTGTTTCTCTGGCGTTTTAAGTTTAGGTTTTATTTTTCAATTGCTTTTGCAATATTTTGCTAAACTTTCTTCACTGGTTAAATGTGTTATATTAGGTATAAGGTCTAGTTTATTAAAATTCAACATCAATATTTTTATTTTTGCTTCATTTTCTATTTAGTACAGCCTGTGTTAATTTGTCAAATATATATAAAATAAGAAAGTTACGTCTCCTTAAACTTGGACCTTAGAAAATACTGGCTGTATTCTTAAGGTCCTGAAAAGATTAAATAACTCATGCGGTCATCCTGATCCCAGTCTCCTCACCCACCCTCCTTCTACTGCTCTTACATGATCTTTCTTTGATTCTTCTCATTGCTGCAGTATTGGAGGGTTTTGTTTGTTTGTCCTAGCCCCGCCATAGGGGTTATGATATATAAATCAGAGTTCTAACAATAACAACGATCATTTACTGAGTACTGTACCTACTTTATGCTAGGCATAGAGTGAGTACTAATTCTTATCCAATGAATTTACCCCTTTCTCTCCCATTTCACAGCTGAGTTCATGGAGGCTCAGAGACTTTAAGAAACATGCCTATGTTTCTACCGAAATGTCATGGCAAGGCTAAAACGTAGGTTTTCTAATTGCACGTTACTTCAGCTGGTCCTGGTGTTAGTCGGCTTCCCTATCACTTTGACCCTGAGAGCTCAAAGAGCAACATACCAGCTCTGGGGGGCAGCTGGGGCAGGATATTGAGTTACACAGCTTAGGGTTCTGTACCTAGAGCACGGCTGTGGTGGAGGGGCCCATTTTGGGTGGTGGGATTGAGGATGGAGACTCAGGCCAATGAGATCGGGAGTGCACAGCCACGCTGGAGCTTGTCTTGCTCCTGAACAAAACAATCAACTCTGTGTACATACCCCCTGGTGCCACTGCCAGGCAATCTAAATATTTTCCTTCATATATAGGTAAACAGGACACGGTACAGTGTTTTTCCTGTGGTGGATGTTTAGGAAATTGGGAAGAAGGAGATGATCCTTGGAAGGAACATGCCAAATGGTTCCCCAAGTAAGTAGATAATTTTTGCTTAAATGTTTCTTTCTTTTTTTTTTGAGACAGTCTTGCTCTGCCACCCAGGCTGGAGTATAGTGGCATGACTTCAGCTCGGTGCAAATTCTCCCTCCCTGGTTCAGGTGATTCTCCTGCCTCAGCCTTCTGAGTAGCTGGGATTATAGGTGTGCACCACCAAGATGGGCTAATGTTTGTATTTTTAGCAGAGATGGGGTTTTGCCATGTTGCCCAGGCTGGTCTTGAGCTCCTGAGCTCAGGCAGTCCACCCACCTAGGCCTCCCGAAGTGCTAGGATTACAGGCGTGAGCCACTGTGCCTGGCTAAATTTTTCAGTTCTTTAAAAGACAAAATGAAAGACAAAAGAGCCACCTTTCTGGAGTAGCACCTTCAGTTTTGATCTTTCCCTATTCAAAATTGGACCACTCCAGGATTTATTCAAGCAGGAAAGGCCTAATTACATTGTGAAAAGTTTGAATTATAGAATTTTAAACAGTTTTTAAGTATTTCATTATCCCAAATTCTAAGATAGGTTTTGCCCAGTAGAAGTTTCATGATCTGCCTTAATTAATAAATAAGGCTGGAAGTGGTGGCCCACACCTGTAACCCCAGCACTTTGGGAGGCCAAGGCAGGAGGATTGCTTGAAATCAGGAGTTTGAGACCAGCCTGGCATGTAGAGACCCTGTTTCTACAAAAATAAAAAAAATTGGCCAGGCGCGGTGGCTCACACCTGTAATCCCAGCACTTTGGGAGGCTGAGGCCGGTGGATCCGAGGTCAGGAAATCAAGACCATCCTGGCTAACACGGTGAAACCATGTCTCTACTAAAAATACAAAAAATTAGCCGGGAACGGTGGCGGGTGCCTGTAGTCCCAGCTACTTGGGAGGCTGAGGCAGAAGAATGGTGTGAACCCGGGAGGCAGAGCTTGCAGTGAGCCGAGATAGCGCCACTGCACTCCGGCCTGGGCGACAGAGTGAGACTCCGTCTCAAAAAAAAAAAGTTAGCCAGGCATGGTGGCGTGTACCTGCAGTCCTAGCTACTTGCGAGGCTGAGGCAGGAAGATTGCTAGAGCCCAGGTAGTCAAGGCTGCATTGAGCCGTGATCAAGCCACTGTGCTCCAGCCTGGGTGACAGAGTGAGACCCTGTCTCTAAAACTAATTAAATAAGTAATAATAATTTCCATAGGGGTGGTGTAAAATGGTGTATGCTGGAAGGTAAAAAATATTTAAACATTATTACAAATGGTTTCATGTACTGCTAAATATATACCAAATGAAAACACTGTATTTTTAAACCTCAGAAAGAGTTTTTATTACTGCAGTGGTCTTTAGTTCCTGGCTTAGAAAAGGAAGTACATTTTAATTATTTTTAATGCTATATTTACTAGTATTTTCTACATGACTTTCTTTGTTTCTACCAAGTACAGATTCATTCCTTTAACAAGTTTTTAAACTTTCACTGTGTAAAATTTCATACAAAGATAGAATAGTGTAATAAATACTTGTCAACACATAGCCAAATCATATTTCATCCATCTCCTACCCACCTTTTTTCCTGGAAATAATAACAATAACTATATTTTTATTTTATTTTATTTGAGACAGAGTCTCGCCCTGTTGCCCAGTGGTACGATCTTGGCTCACTGCAACCTCCACCTCTCAGGTACAAGTGATTCTTGTGCCTCAGCCTCCGAGTAACTGAGATTACAGGCATGCACCACCACACCTGGCTAATTTTTGTAATTTTAGTAGAGATGCGGTTTCATCATGTTGCCCAGGCTGGTCTGAAATTCCTGGCCTCAAGTGATCCACCCACCTTGGATTCCCAAAGTGCTAGGATTACAAGCATGAGCCACCTGTGCCTGACCAAGATTTGTTGTTTTCTTTCTTTCTTTTCTTTTTTTTTTTTTTTTTGAGAGTGAGTTTTGCTCTGTTGCCCAGACTGGAGCCCAGACTGGAGTTTAGTGGTGCAATCTCAGCTCACTGCAACCTCCACCTCTCAGACTCAAGCAATCCTCCCACCTCAGCGTCCTGAGTAGCTGGGACCACAGGTGCCTACCACCATGCCCAGCTAATTTTCATATCTTTTATAGCGACAAGGTTTCACTTTGTTGCCCAGGCTGGTCTGGAACTCCTGGTTCTACAAACTCCTGGGCTCAAGTGATCCTCCCACCTCAGCCTCCCAAAGTGCTGGGATTACAGGCATGAGCCACTGTGCTCAGCCCCTTAAGATTTTTAATTCGTAGATTTCCTCTTTATCCATCTCTTTTTTCTTGTCACTTATTTGTTAAAGAAGCCATGTAATCTGTCCTGTAAAATTCCCTCTACTCTAGATTTGGCAGAATGTGTTCCTCTGGCATAGTCTAACATGTTCCTCTACCTTCTGCATTTCCAGGAACCTGACACTTGGATCTAGCAGTTTGGTCAGGCTCAGATTCTATTTTCTTTCTTTCTTTTTTTTTTTTTTTTTTTTTTGTGACAGTCTCACTCTGTTGCCCAGGCTTGAGTGCAGCGGTGCAATCTTGGCTCACTGCAACCTCTGCCTCCTGGGTTCAAGCGATTCTCCTGCCTCACCCCACCCAGGTCTGGGATTATAGGTGCGCACTGCCACACCTGACTAGTTTTTGTATTTTTAGTAGAGACGGGGTTTCTCCATATTTGCGAGGCTGGTCTCGAACTCCTGACTTCAGGCAGTCCACCTGCCTCGGCCTCCCAAAGTGCTGGGATTATAGGCATGAGCCACCGTGCCCAGCCTCAGATTCTATTTTCTTTAACAAATATTTGTCACACACCTACTACATGCAAAGTTGTTGGTTGGATACTAAATTAACTACAAAACTGGACACAGTTATTTACATTTATAAGTCATCTTGCACATGGACAGCCATGCCCACAAAAGTGAATGGAGGCCCGGCATGGTGGCTCATGCCTGTAATCCCAGCACTTTGGGAGGCTAAGGTAGGCGGATCATTTGATGTCAGTAGTTCAAGACCAGCCTGGCTAACATGGTAAAACCCTGTCTCTATTAAAAATACAAAAATTGGCCAGGCGTGGTGGCAGGCACCTGTAACCCCAGCTACTTGGGAGGCTGAGGCAGGAGAATTGCTTGAGCCCGGGAGGCAGAGGTTGCAGTGAGCTGAGATTGCACCACTGCACTCCAGCCTGGTCAACACAGCGAGACTCCATCTCAAAAAAAAAAAAAAAAAAAAAAAAAGGCTGGGCACAGTGGCTCACACCTGTGATCCCAGCACTTTGGGAGGCCAAGGCGGGCAAATCACTTGAGGCCAGGAGTTCATTCAAGTGATGAACTCTCCTCTCCCCTCTTCCCTCTCTCCTCTCTCCTCTCCTATCTCCCCTCTTCCCTGGCCAACATGGTGAAACCCCATCTCTACTAAAAATACAAAAATGAGCCGAGCGTGGTGGTGCGTGCCTATGGTTCCAGCTACTCGGGAGGCTGAGGCAAGAAATTGCTTGAACCTGGGAGGCGGAGGTTGCAGTGAGCCAAGATCACTCCACTGCACAGCAGCCTGGGCAACAGAGTGAGACTCCATCTCAAAAGAAAAAAAAAGTGAATGGATATCTTTGATATGTTTTGATACGTTGTGTGGGAAAGCAATATGCACAATAAGTGCAGTGTGAGACTTTGAAAATGTTTAAAACCACTCAAACTATATATGGAGTTGCTTGAAAATATATAGAAAACCTTATGAAAATATGTAAACCAAACTGTAGATACTTCTGGATCTGGATTTGTCAGGGGGTGAAGTAGTGATGGATTTTCACATTTATTTTGTTCATTGCTGTCTTGTTTAAATTTTTGGAAACAAGTATATATTACTTTCATAGTTGAAAAGAAAGTGAGGAGATTAGGAGGGAGGAAGTAAACAAGGGAGGAGAGGAGAAAGGCAGGAAGAGGAGAGAGAGAAAGTTAGACAAGTAGATGAGATGGTTATAGGGACGAATGAAGCTAGAATTGTGAAATCATTTGACAGTCACTCTGGCTCCCTGACGAATCAAAACAGCCACCCAGGCAGTCCTTGTCCATGCTGACAGTGCACCATATATGCATATGTAACAGGGAACAGCAGCCCCGGCTGGAGCACAAGCCGCTGCTCGTGGGCACCTGTCTCAGCTCTAGCCTCAGCTCAGGCTTCACTTAGCCTCAGGGTCACTGTGTTTAGTGTCGCTGGGTTATACACTGGACAAGTACCAGTGGCACCACTCACACATGATCACATTATCATGTGACTAGCACCTACTAGAGCCGCACATCCTGTCTGCAGGGGCCTTCATATGCCTTCTCTAACATAGTCAGAGGGTAAGGTAATAAGCACAGGGAGGGGAGACAGCAGTCCAGCAACCACTCCTAGAGAGGAAGGAGTTCAGGCCAGCAAACAAGGGCAGGGGGTAGTGCAGAGGCTTAGGAGATAGAGCCAGGCTTGAATCTGCTGCTACCTGACTACCAGACCCTAGGCAGGTGACTGACCTTGTCTGAATCTCATATGTAAAATGCAGTGTCAACAACAACAAAAAAATTAGAGACAGATATCCCCAAATATGTCAAATTTATTCAGGAATAAGAAAAGAGGGTTATGATTTGGAATGCACTACTGTAAACCACAGGCACGTGCAGTGAGGGAAGAGTAAAGGGAATTTTTCTTGGCAAAAGGGAGAAGTTCACATAAGCTGCTTAGAAACAGAGTTCATAGCTGGGCATGGTAGCTCATACGTGTAATCACAGCTATGTGGGAGGCTGAGGCGGGAGGGTCTTTGGAGGCCAGGAGTTTGAGACCAGCCTGGGCAATGTGATGAGGCTCCAGTTTCTTTAGAGAGAGAGGAGAGAGGGGAGAGGGGAGAGGAGAGAGAAGACAGGGGACGGGGGAGAGGGGAGAGGAGAGAGGGCAGAAGAGAATTCCTTGGTTCTGAAGGCTCAAAGCCAGAGTTCTTGTGTGTTCATTGGTGGAGATGCTGTTCCTGGGCAGGTGTTCTTTTGACAGCATCTCATCTCATGTTATCTTATCTGAATTGCTGCAGTCCAAAAGAATGTGCAGTGATAAACCTTGCCATAGAAATATGTGCGTACATGCAAGCAATGCAAAGCAGGAGATGCGTGACAGGCGTGAAGGGATTTCTTATGGGATTCTTAGAAAGTCTTTGGAACCGTTCCTGTCTTGGACATGAAAGCCTGAACCCCACTCCTTCGTGCCTTCCCAGCCCTATTTTGTGTGGGTCTGATAAAAGTGATTTCATCTTGGTATCTGCGACTTCCACAGCAGATAATAATGTACAGCTTGTCTGGTGGTTGTAAGGATGAGAAACAAAGTATATGGATCAAATGCTTTGTAAAAATTACCATGTATAATGTGAGGATGACAGATGACCAACTGTTTTGCCTTTCATTTGTTTGTCGTCATAAGCACATGGTCAGTCAATAAAATCTAAGAGCTGGAATTAGAGCAAGAATCCCCAAGTTTCTTGTTGGGTTACTCTGTCTTTAGCTTTCTGGACTTCAATTTGTTGCTTCTTTTTATCAACTGTCAACAAAATGAGTATACCCTTACACTTTTTAAAATGTGGCACTCCATAAATGTAAGATGATTTTATGGTAACTTTTTAAGGTACTGAGTTCCTCCTCAATCCATATAAATCATGAGGACAGGGAACCACCCCGTGCATTGTGTGCCATGTAGGTTATGTGCAGACTTACGGCAATCCTTGGAAACATTTATACACCTGAAAACTGGGAACCCTGGCTGCCTATCACATAGAATCATGGCCCTGGGGAAATATGCAGATCATCTGATGGCATCCATGTTCTCCTGTGATTATAAGAGAACATGGCAAGGTTGGTCACATCCCCACTGGTGGAAGAGCGGGTACTAATGCTCCAGCCTTTGGGTTCCCAGCCCATTCTTTGCTACAGCACCATAGAAAGAAAACTTAAATTTGAATTGGAGGGATTTTTATTTTTATTTTTATTTTTTTTGAGACAGAGTCTCTCTCTGTTGCCCAGGCTGGAGTGTAGTGGTACAATCATGACTCACTGCAAACTCTGCTTCCCAGGTTCAAGTGATCCTCCCGCCTCAGCCTCCCAAGCAGCTGGGATTACAGGCGCCCGCCACCATGCCTGGCTAATTTTTGTATTTTCAGTAGAGATGGGGTTTCACCATGTTGACCAGGCTGGTCTCAAACTCCAGGCCTCAAGTGATCCACCCGCCTCAGCCTCCAAAAGTGCTGGGATTACAGGCATGATCCCCCATGCCCAGCTGAATTGGAGGAAATTTTAAAAGTTAATTTTAAAACTGCTTCTCTTTTATGGGAAAGGAATATGTTTTTAAATGGTATTCAGTGTGCTCTTTTTTAAAAAAATCAAAAATTATCCATTAACATCCGTTACTTTTTTTGTTTTTGGTTTTTTTTGAGATTGAGTCTTGCTCTGTTGCCCAGGCTAGAGTGCAGTGGCATGATTTCAGCTCACTGCAACCTCCACCTCCCAGGTTCAAGCGATTCTCCTGCCTCAGCCTCCCAAGTAGCTGGGATTACAGGCGCCTGCCACCACACCCAGCTAATTTTTGTACTTTTAGTAGAGACAGGGTTTCACCATCTTGGCCAGGCTGGTCTCGAACTCCTGACCTCGTGATCCACCTGTCTCGGCCTCCCAAAGTGCTGGGATTCCAGGCGTGAGCCATCACGCCTGGCCTAATAGCCATTACTTTTTAATGCATGGTAATTTTTTGTTCAGTAGATAAATATATTGTTATCTTAAAAAGATTTTTTGTATTTACTTTTGAGACTGGGTCTCAGTCTGTTGCCCAGGCTGGAGTGTAGCAGCCTGATCATGGCTCAGTGCAGCCTCTACCTCCCCGGGCTCAGGTGATCCTCCCCCTTCAGCCTCCTGAGTAGCTGGGACTACAGAGGTGTGGCACCATGCCCGGCTAATTTTTGTATTTTTTGTGGAGATGGGGTTTTGCCATGTTGCCCAGGCTAGTCTTGAACTCCTGGATGTGAGCCACTGCGTCTGGCCTATTATTTTAAATATAGTTCTCTTTACTGCCAGTAGCTTTCATATAACCCTAGCGACTAGATTTAGTCACCACTGCTTAATTCCAAAAAACAAAAGCTCCATCCTATATTTACTGTAAATCAGTCTCTTTGATTGTATTGCATGTTTTATTTCAAGAAAAAAGTTAACCTGAAGATTTAATTTTAAATAACTACACATGTTGTCACTAATAGAAATAACAAATAATTATATGAGAATAATGGTAATTCTCCTAAGTTTTGTGGTAAATTTTTTGGCAATTTTATTGAAGTATAATAAAATTCAACAATTCAATACGTCTTTATAAATGTTCATTGTGATATAGGACAGCTCTATCACAGTACTGGGGTAAATTTTAATTATATTTATTAATTACAGATGTGAATTTCTTCGGAGTAAGAAATCCTCAGAGGAAATTACCCAGTATATTCAAAGCTACAAGGGATTTGTTGACATAACGGTAATGTATAACAGCAATTTTTTTCTCAAGTTTTTGGATTACCTGTAAGTGTCTGACTCAGAAGGGCATAGGCATTCTTTTTATGTCATGGGTTTGATTTCTTTCTTCCTTTCTCCTTTCATTCCCCTGGCTCCCATCTTCAAAGTGAAAAATATCACATTCACTTGCTGACCTAGAGCCTTTTTCTTTTTCCAGGGCTGGCTTCTGACGGGCTCTGCTTGCCTTCCTGATAGTCTTCCCCTTTATGAATGAAGCCACTTGCCCCAGCTTCCCTCTGCTGCCCCTATCTGCAGGCTTGCTAAGATCTCCTGACCTAGGCGCTGTCACCCACAGTGGGCTGCAGAGCTGGCTCTTCCTAGCTGGCTAACTATCCTGAATCAGTAAAAATTTCCTAGTGGAGAGTGATGGGAAATCGAATCCAAACTGGCTTAAACAAAAATGAGAATTTATTGATTAACATGACTCAGGAGACCAGAACTCTATAGAGAACATGGCCTGACAGTGGGGGAAGAGAGGTGTTTCCTCAAAAAGAAATTGGGTGCAGCTTTCCCAGAAGAATCAGTTGCTCAATATATAATACCCTGATGAATTTAGTTACCATTCTATGTCTCTTACTTCCTCATTCTTCAAAGTACATCTGTGATATTTAAATGCAGGTCTGTTTTCAAGGTCAGTTTCCGGAAACAGTGACCCTGAGAAGGCTTCCTCCTGAGTATGCATAAACATTCACAGCTTGCATGCGTGTGTGTGTGTGTGTGTGTGTGTATGTTTGCTTGCACTGCATAAAAACAATTGCAACATCAACAGAAATAAAAATTAAAGGAATAATTCTCCTCCGACTCTGCCGTTCCATCCAGTGAAACTCTTCATTCTGGGGTAAAGTTCCTTCAGTTCTTGTTCATAGATAGGTATATACTTCATAAGTCAAACAATCAGGCTGGGTGCAGTAGCTCATGCCTGTAATCCCAGCCCTTTGGGAGGCCGAGCTGGGCAGATCACTTGAGATCAGGTGTTCGAGACCAGCCTCAAGACCTCCAACATGGGCCGGGTGCAGTGGCTCACGTCTGTAATCCCAGCACTTTGGGAGGCCGAGACGGACGGATGATGAGGTCAGGAGATAGAGACCATCCTGGCTAACATGGTGAAACCCCATCTCTACTAAAAATACAAAAAAAAAAAAAAATTAGCCCGGCATGGTGGCAGGCGCCTGTGGTCCCAGCTACTCGGGAGGCTGAGGCAGGAGAATGGCGTGAACCTGGGAGGCGGAGCTTGTAGTGAGCCAAGGTCGTGCCACTGTGCTCCAGCCTGGACGACAGAGCGAGACTCTGTCTCAAAAAAAAAAAAAAAAAAAAAAAAAGACCTCCAACATCGTGTCTGTCTCTACTAAAAATACAAAAAAAAAAAAAAAAATTAGCCGGGTGTGGTGGCACATGCCTGTACTACTCGGGAGGCTGAGGCAGGAGAATCACTTGAACCCAGGAGGCGGAGGTTGCAGTGAGACGAGAACCTGCCACTGCACTTCAGCCTGGGCAACAGAGTGAGACTCTGCCTCAAAAAAAAAAAAAAAAAAAAAAGTCAGATAATCAACAACTTGAATTTTAATTTCCCTCAGGGAGAACATTTTGTGAATTCCTGGGTCCAGAGAGAATTACCTATGGCATCAGGTAAAAACTCAAACATTTTCCAAAGGCTTTGCTTGTTTATTTCTTCTTTTGATTTTTTGTCCCTATCTCTTTTTGTCGTCCCCCCCGCCCCGCCCCGTTTATTTTGAAGCAAACTCTAGACATCATTCCATCTGTAACTGTGAAGGGACAACTTGAACGCTGATACTTGCAATATCAAAGCCTACTGGTCTCTTTAATTTGTGCAGCAGCAATAAAGATATAGAAAAAAAAAAGACTAAAGCCTGCTGGTCTCACCTTGTGCTTTTTATTCAAGCTTATTGCAATGACAGCATCTTTGCTTACGAAGAACTACGGCTGGACTCTTTTAAGGACTGGCCCCGGGAATCAGCTGTGGGAGTTGCAGCACTGGCCAAAGCAGGTCTTTTCTACACAGGTGAGTCAGTAGGTTGTGCCCACTTGCTTGCTTGACCTTTAATTCCCACATAGACTTTATGCTCCTGGGCTTACGTTTAGCTACACTCAGCAATGTCCACTAGCTTCAGCGTTTCTTTTTCTTTTCTTTTTTTTTCCCCCTTGGAGACAGAGTTGCCCAGGCTGGAATGCAGATCTTGGCTCACTGCAACCTCCACCTCCTGGGTTCAAGAGATTCTCCTTCCTCAGCCTCTGGAGTAGCTGGAACCACAGGCGCCTGCCACCACGCCCAGCTACTTTTTTGTATTTTTAGTAGAGACAGGGTTTCACCATGCTAGTCAGAATGCTCTTGATCTCCTGATCTCGTGATCTGCCCGCCTTGGCCTCCCAAATGCTGGGATTACAGGTGTGAGCCATCGCGCCAGGCCTCTCTTCAGCATTTCTTATAGATTCGTTTTCTTTT